>NC_000013.11:91707524-92010554 GCF_000001405.40 Homo sapiens
GTGTGAGGATCACATAAGCCTGGGACATCCAGGCTGCAGTGAGCCATGATCGCGCCACTGCACTCCAGCTTGGGTGACAGAGCAAGGCCCTGTCTCAAAAAAAATAATAAAAACAAAGATAAATAGTAGCAAAGTGTTTGTGAGGCTGTGGAAAAAACTGAGCATGCAAACATTGCTGGAGGGAATGTAAAATGCTGCAGTCACTTTGGAAAACACTTTGGCAGTTCCTCAAAAAGTTAAATTGAGAGCTAGCATTTGACCCAGCTAATTTCATGCCAAGGTATATTCCCAAGATAACATAATATATATATATCCACAAAAAAAATACATAGATGATCATCACAGCATATTCCTAATAGTCAAAAACTGGAAACAGTCTAAATGTCTATCAACTGATGAATGGACAAATAAAATGTTCTATATACATATAATGGAATATTTTTTGGTAATAAAAAGGAACGAAGTACTGTTACATGCCACAATATTATTGGACCTTGATAAATAAACTTAGGCATATTAAAATTTTAAAGTATATAGCTGAGCAGACAGGAGTTAATGAATTGGTCAGTGCCAGACCTCAAGCGATTGGGACCTCACAGAAGGTGTGTGAGGGAAAAGCGTTTATAAGGTATTCACGGAAACAAGACAAAGGCAATATTTGATTGATAAAGGGAGGACATAGTCTTAAAGTTCTAGATAGAGATTCCTTGGCTATTTCTGATTGCTTAAGTTTACGTTTTTTGTTTTTGTTTTTTTTTTGTTTTTCCCCTGGGATATGACTGTATACTCTGAGTTGGGTTTCCGTATGTATATGTCGGAGTCCAGAAAGCTGATGCCACCTCAGTCTAATGGCCTCCTAATTAATTACTTTAACACGGTTTGTGAAAGAAGTCAGTCCAAAAGACCGCATATTGTAAGATTCTGTTTATATGAAATGTCCAGGACAGCAAATTCATGGAGATAGAAAGTAGATTAATAGTTGCCAGGGGCTAAGAGGTGCAGGGGACTGGGGAGTTACTGCTAAGGCAATATGGGTTTTTTTGGAGGGGGTAACAAAAATATTGTAAAATTAGATAATGTTGATGGTTGCACTACTCTGTGAATATAACAAAATTCACTGAATTGTGGATTTCAAAAGGGCGAATTTTATGTTCTGTGAACTATATAACAATAAAGCTGTTATAAAAAAATTACAATGTATACTTTTGAAAATTGACTCATGCAAATAGAAAACCAGTATATGCCAGGAAGTAATTTCTATGTGTGGGTTTGTTCTTTCTGTTGGCATACTCTTTCTGAGGCTTTGGAGACTCAGAGGAATAATGTGTCATTTAATTTGTTATTCACTATGACATATTAAATATGTTTTTAGAAACATTTTGTCTTTAACACTACAAGGTCCTTCAGATAAAAAAAAGTTCTCATATATCAAAGGTTTTGTTTGTTTTCCCCACGGATGCTCAACTTTCAGATCCTGAAAAACTATTTTTGTTATTTAAGAAATTTATGAGTCTGATACATTTAAGTAAGAGGATAATCTCAAACATTCATTCGAATATTCAAGTAATGTATATTGAGTGTTTACAGTGTCCTAGGCACTGCTAGACATTGGGTATTACCAGCTGGGCATGCAGCTACACTGCTGACACTCCAATAGGTTAACTCACTTTTTCATGGCCACTTTAACCTCCCTAGTCTACTCTCTACACAGAAGTCAGAATGCTATTTTTAAAAGATAAAATATATTATGCTTGAAATCTTCCAATGGTTTTTATTTACCTTAGAATGAAATTTAAAAGCCTTTATACTGACCTTTAGTACTTTGCACATTCTGGCCTTTACCACCACTTTACCTTTGTCTGGCACCACTCGTAATACTCCCTTGCTCTAGCTATGCTGGAGTTCTCTTGGTTCCTTTAGCATTCGGTCTTCTCTCATGACTCTTGTTGGTGTTTTGAATGAAATAGGCTCTCCCCTGGCCATCCTCCCAAGCACCTTTATCTAGCTAATGTTAATGCTACTCCTCATTTCTGTGTTGCGAATAGATACCACTAACTATGGGAAGCTTTCCTCTGTAGAAATGGTTGGGTAACTTTGTAATGTACTCTGGCAACACTGTAACTTCTCTTTTACAGCATTTTGCATGAATGCAATTATTTATTTTCTATATTTTATATTGATTTGCAGATGCCCAAAGGCAAGAGACTGTTGGTTGTGCTTACCACTGTATCCCTAGAGTTGAAGTCTTGATTCATATATGATTCCCCAATGAATATCTGATCATCAACTTAAGAAATCTGGCCTTTATCATGCATTGGCTGGACCACAGCAATTGTCTCCAAATTGATCTTTTTGCCTGTAGCTTGGCCTTCTTTGTATCTGTCTGAAAAAATACAAGCCCCATAGCATGGTGTAAAGTTCCCTTTGTAGCGATACCACCCTTGTCACATATCAATCTCATTCCAAGTCTCCTGACTTGCCCTCCCTTCCTGTCATGTTCCAGGTCTATTAAAGTACATGCAGTACTTCAGCCATTCATCTTAACCCCATGTTGTGTTGAACATTCTTCTATGTCCACCTCACCAGTAAAACTGGAAGCTTATACAGATAATTCACTAGACTTTGTCATTTGTTTATCCCCAGTGATTGTTAAAGTGTCTGGCAATATTTGTTAAACTGAAATGACCTCAAATGCCACAGCAGAAACTTCTTGATTTAATGCATTGAATTAGATTTAATTTCAGGCATTTATAATATTTTATTGAATCTTAAATTACTAACACTTCATATCTTCCATGAGAGCACAGCAAGACAACTGTGATAATCTATGATTCTTCTAATGAATGCACAGAATGCTTCCATTTAAACTTTTATGCAGATAAATACTCTGATATTATTAGCGTTGTATCTGCATTTATCTTAAGTCCTGTCAAAAATCCTGCTTATCAAATTAGGTTATTGGAAATAAGGGCAAGAGAAAAATAATAAATATTAAAACCACATTTTGGTAGAGGTGTATATAATCTATTCTAAATAGCTCTGGGAGTGTTCCCATGCTACATCTTTCATCTTCCATTTCTTAATTCAGGAATGCAAACATCAGGCATTTGGGCTTCTCCACTGCATGTACTGTCTGGGTTCTAAGGCAGCCCAAGCTGCCCAGGGCCTGGGGCAGGACTGAGGCTTCACTGACAAACTAGATGCATTTAGACTGTACAAGTGTATTTCTCATTTACAGAATCCACGTGGTTCATCTAAAGAAGTTTTTAAAACTGCTTTTTTTGTAGTTCACTCATGTTCATTTAGATGTTAATAGGTATTCTTTGAAGAAAAAAAAAGTTGCATGATCTTAATTAAGTTCAGGGAAAGCCTACACACAATAGTCATCTCCTAGAGGGAAATGTGGGTGGTTTCCACGCAGATCATGTCAAAGGCTCTAAGAAATCCTGCTATTAAAAGGAATGCTTTTACACTGTTGGTGGGAGTGTAAATTAGTTCACCATTGTGGAAGACGGTGTGGCAATTCCTCAAGGATCTAGAACTAGAAATACCATTTGACCCAGCATTCCCATTGCTGGATATATACCCAAAGGATTATACAAATCATGCTACTATAAAGACACATGCACATGTATGTTTATTGTGGCACTATTCACAATAGCAAAGACTTGGAACCAACTCAGATGTCCATGAATGATAGACTGGATTAAGAAAATGTGGCACATATACACCACGGAATACTATGCAGCTAAAAAAAAGGATGAGTTCATGTCCTTTGCAGGGACATGGATGAAGCTGGAAACCATCATTCTCAGCAAACTATCACAAGGACAGAAAACCAAACACCTCATGTTCTCACTCATGGTGGGAATTGAACAATGAGAACACTTGGACACAGGGTGGGGAACATCACACACCGGGGCCTGTCAGGGGGTGGGGGACTGGGGGAGGGATAGCATTAGGAGAAATACCTAATGTAAATGATGAGTTAATGGGCACAGCAAACCAACATGGTACATGTATACATATGTATCAAACCTGCACGTTGTGCACATGTACCCTAGAAGTTAAAGTATAATACTAATAAAAAAGAAATATTGCTATTTAAAAATACCTGTTAACTGTATTAAGTAAAGCATTTCCAGTATATATTTAACCAAGAAGCCCATTTTTGACTGAACAAGTTATGGATTTTCTGCTAAAAACACTTAGAAAAATGCTACTCTGAGGTACATTTCATTACTTCCCAAAGTGGTCATTTTAATAATTGTGCATTATTTCGGGTTTGGGTCACAGCAAATTTATTTTGGGGGATGTTGAAGGGAATGTGGCCTAGTATGTGGCTGGGTAGCTTCAAGTTTATGGCTAGGCCATTGGCAGCTGTGATCATCCTCAGATGGGTCCCCCACATTAAAGAAGGATTGGTCATGCTGAAATTTCCCAAGGACTCTAAGAACACGGTTCAGAAACTGAATCCCTTTGAAAAATCTATGTGCATTTGATTGAATTAGATTTTTTGCAGGTGCAGCAATGTGAAAATAGGACTAAACATTATCTTGACCTCCTAAAAGTGGTTTATTTCCAGAGAGATGAGAGTAAACATGTCTCAGACAAATATCTTTGTCTGGATGCTATGCTTCTAGTTTTATACCAAGCAACCATTTTATTCAATGATTTATCCATATGCACCGAGAATTATTATATTCACAAGGACCATTAAGATGGATTCTCTAGTTAAGAGCATACATCAAAAGCAAAGTTGTTTCCAGTTTAATGTGTGTGTGTGTGTATATGTGTGTGTGTGTATATATATATGTGTGTGTGTGTATTTATATATGTGTGTATATATATGTGTGTATATATATGTGTGTGTGTGTGTATATATATATAATTTGAATATATTGGTGTTTCTCACTAACTTGGGTGAAAGTATGAATCATAAATATTTTTAAAATCCATAATATGTAATATGGATTAGAATGTGATATCTTCGTCATTTGTTGATCAACAAACAATATAATCTATGTAATTAAAATGCACATCACAGTCATCAGTGATCTCTGATAGAGTGTCCTTCATTCACATTGGAAAATCCGTAACCCACAACAGAAGATAATACAGAAAAGCTTTCCACCCCACGGCCTGGTGTCGTCTGACTTTGCTATTGGCTTTTTCATACACTGATCATCAGCTGAGTAGCCTTAGAACAAAGAGGTATTAGTAGTATCACAAAACCACTCTTACCCTGTTCAGAGACAATAAAGGACACTCCTGGCCATAGTTTACTAATCCGCCATCTTAGAATTATTAAGCCTGTTGAAAAAAAAAAGAGATCATGTTAAATGTAAGAGATGGATGAATACAAACAAAAATAAAAAACAAGCGGCCAGGTGCGGTGGCTCACGCCTGTAATCCCAGCACTTTGGGAGGCCAAGGTGGGGAGATTACCTGAGGTCAGGAGTTTGAGACCAGCCTGGGAAACATGGTGAAACCCAGGCTGTACTAAAAATGCAAAAATTAGCTGGGCATGGAGGTGCACACCTATAATCCCAGCTACTCAGGAGACTGAAGCACGAGGATTGCTTGAACCCGGGAGGCGGAGGGTGCAGTGAGCTGACATCGTGCCACTGCACTCTAGCCTGGGTGATAGAGAGAGACTCTGTCATAAATAAATAAGTAAATAAATAAATAAATAAGTCACAAGCCTTCATATTATACTACAAGCAAGCAAGATTTTAAAAATGAAGCCACTAAACTTATATTTATGAAAAAATTGAAAGGAGTAAGGAAGTGCCCCCCACCCCCCTTTAAAATACTTTCTCGAATGCCTAAATAGTCAGACTTGGCAGGATGATGATAGTAACTGTATCTTCTCTTCATCATTTTCCACCGTTCCTAATATAAAACCGAACGTGGAAAGCAGTCATGTCTTTTCTCCTTTCCTTTCCCGTCATTTTCTCTACCTCTGATGATTTCAGGCTTTTGGGATATAAAAAGTAGTTTATTCCTAGAGTCACTTTAGAGACCCTTGTCACATCAGCCTGGTAGAAATTGATTTCTCAGGTTCAGTTACCACCTTGTTTATATGTATCCAAGAAATCTCTGAGCACCAGCTTTCTACTTGACACTTTCTCTCAGAATGTCACAAAGACTCTTTAAAACCCAGAAATCCAGAACTGAACTCATGGTCTTGTCTCCCGAACCTGGTTACTCTTTAGTACATCCACTTAGAAACCTAAGAGTCATCCTTGACACTTACTTTACCTCCCACCAAATTTCCAATCCTGATTCCTATTGATTTTATAACCTAAATATGTCTCAAATAGGTTTGAGTTGCTCTTTTATGTAGCCAACTATCATATTCTTGCTTGGAGATGATTGCAGGTAGATATGTCCTAGTTAGTCTAATCTCATCCAGTCTCCCTCTCTCCTCCACTGCCCTATCCCATCCCATTCCATCACCAGAATAACCATTGAATCTCAGAGCCTCAGAATAACCTTTCAAAAACTCAGTGGTAACCTGATTTTCTCAGGGTCTAATTCCTTCCATGGTAGGCTTGATTAATTTCTTTAATATAATCATCAAGACTATTTATCTGCCTTTCAAATTCTCAGTCCTATTCTCTCACCAACAACTCACCTCCTTCCTTGGTTAGCCTGGAGTTATTTTATAGACTTTAACCCAACAGTCAAATTCTTGGGACTTTATTATATTAAAATAAAAGCACTAATAGTTTTCAAAGATGCAGAACAAGGTTGTTTATATTTTCGGCAACATTCAGATCACAATACTGGAAAGAAGTAAATATCCAACTGGGGGATTGTTGAATACATTAGGATACAATCACACACACACACCGTGGAAGATTATGCAAGGTTCATAAGTAATGCATTCAAGCTCTGTCCATTGATATGAAAAGATTTTGATGTCGTATTATGAGACTGAGAAAGTGAAACAAATCGAAGCACATATAATGCCCTATTTTTGTAAATGATTCCATTTTAAATATACTATCTTTATGTTTAGAAATAGATACTATATATAAATGTGTGTAAATGTGCTTATGTGAAAAGTACATGGACATGTGAACATGGAGAAAACAGAAAAGAATGTGTAATGATTTGCTGTACCTGATTATCTGGGAAGGACAAGCTGTGAGTCGAGATAATAGGGAGGATAGGAGTTAGAGAAGCAAGCAAAATAATAGGAAAAGTCTATGGCATTAAAAAAAAAAATGAGAACCCAGTGATGCAGGACAGGTGAGGCCCCAACTGGGGCTTAGGCTGGGAGGGTTTCTTGCTTTGCCCGGGAAAGAACTTAAGGGTCAACCCACGGTAGAAGAAAACAGCTTTGTTGAAGCAGCAGTGTTCCAGGTCCGGGGGTGTTACAGCTCAGGCAGTGTTGCAGCTCTGTGACTGCTCCTGCAGAGCAGAGCTCCTCCATAGGCAATGTGTTGAGAGTAGCAGCTCAGGGCAGTTCTGTAAGTCGTGTTTATACCTACTTCTAATTACATGCAGATTAAGGGGTGGTTTATGCAGAAATTTCTAGGAAAAGGGTAGCCATTTCTGGGTCATCTGGTCATGGCTGTGGAAAGAGGCAGCAGCTCCAGGGTGTTGCCATGGCAATGGTAAACTGACATGGCACACTGTAGGGGTGTCTCACAGAAAGCTGCTTCTGCCCCATCCCTGTTTTAGCTAGTTGTTAATTTGGTCTGGTGTCTGAACCTGGCCTCCAGAGACAAGTTCTGCCTCTTACTTCACCAGGATGTATGATATGATCCTGTGTATAAAACATTATATGAGTATGTATATGTGTGGATATCTACACGTACACATAGATAAATTATAAAACATATTTGTATATATCTACTAATTGCTGGATATATTCTTGAAATACATGACATTTAAGTGACAAAATCTGTCGTGGAGAAGTATAGAGTATAATTCTAATTTGGTAAAATCAGACAAAAAAGAACAAAATGTAAATACATGTGTTTGTAAATGTGAGGATAAGGTTATAGAAGGTTGGGTCTTGGCCAGCTTGCTTTCCCTTCTCTGTCAGCATCCACCATTTGGGATTGCTTATGTACCCTTCCAGACATTTAAAATTCATTTATATGTATAAATAACTATAACAATAGAAATATGTGGTATTTTAATTTAAATACCACACATGATACCTTATCATTTTCAGTTTTTTGTTCATAAATTATCTTGAAGTTGTTTTTTTTTTTTTTAAGATAGGGTCTCTCTCTCTCTCTCTCTCTCTCTCTCTCTGTGTGTGTGTCACCCAGGCTAGAGTGCAGTGGCTTGAACAGGGCTCACTGTAGTTTCTAACTTCTAGGCTCAAGCGATCCTCCCACCTCAGCCTCCTGAATAGCTGGGACTACAGGTGCACAGCACCATGCTCATCTTGTTTTTAAAAAATACTTTTTGTAGAGACAAGGTCTCACTCTGTATCCCAGGCTAATCTTGAACTCCTGACCTCAAGCGATTCTTCCACCTCAAATTCCAAAAGTGTTGGGATTACAGGCATGAGCCACCATGCCTGGCCCATCTTGATTTTTTTTTTTAAAGATTACAAAGTACATAAAAACTATATAACATACTATGGATTTTATAGTCGTTGAAGAATGATGGGCATTAGTTTTCAGTTTTTCATTATTCAAAATAAATGATCTATTGAGCATCCTTGTATATGCCTCCTTGTTCTTAAGTGTAGTTGTTTTTTTAGGTGAGATATGGTTAATGAGAATTACTGCCTGGTAGAAAGTATACACTTACAAACATCATAAAAACAGCCAATACCCCACCTCCACCTCATTAGAGGATTTACCACTTTACATTCACAGTAACGTGAGAGACTATTGGTTTCTCATACCTTGACAAACAATTGATACTGTGAATATTTAAATGTTTTTCTATTTAGTTGGATGAAATTATATTTTCAATTTCAAAGATAAATATTGAGGTTGATCAGCTTTTATGTTTATTGCCATCTGCATTATATCTGTGACTTATGTATCCATATCTTGTGTTCATTTATTTTTTATTTGGTTATCTTTTTCTTAGTTTTTCAAATATTCTGCATAATAAGCATTTGTCTATCAAATATGTTGAAACTCCAGTCAGCAGTCTGTTTTAACTGCCTTTCTCACTGTGCAATATATGACACATGAATGTGCGTGGAATGTTATAGGTAAGTAGATGTGAGGAATGACAAAGGCAGAAAAACTTACAAGGTCTCCATGCGATCAGAAGGAAGGCATGATATTATATTTGAGTACTCTAGGAAAGGAGCATTTAAATCGTCTCCTGCATTGTCATGTGACTATTTCCAACAAATGAGTTATTGAGAACAAAAGTATTAATTCATTTGCGTAAATGGCTATTAGCTTTGTTCTGGGGACTGGGAGAGGGATTGGTAGTTACTGAGAACAACTGTAAACACGACCAAACAAAATACTTCCTCTGCTCTACTCCACATTGCTACAGGACAAATCCCACCGGGGACGTGCAAACCAAATGCTGGCAAGGTTGATAAATAAACTCAAGTTGAGAGATCGAGAGCAATTTAATTTCATAGGTGATATTTTAAACACATCTGAAGAAGTGGAAACAGGCAAGGAGAAAAAAAGAAAAGTAGAGACTGAAAAGTACAGGGTGACTCCGGAGACTGTAACACAATTTAGCTGAAGTGTAGGATACTCAAAGTGGAGTGCTGGGAAATTTCCAGCTTCAGCTGTAAATTCACATGAAATAATTTGGTTTGTCCTCATTAGGAGATGGGAAGAACCACCAAAGGCTTTGGTTCAGAGCAGTTTGATCAGAACTGTGCTTTAGGAAGATTAATTGGGGGACCTGGAGGGAAGGATTAGAGCTGAGAGAGTGTTGGAGAGAAAGTCGGCAAGGTAGCCCTTCCATCTATCTGAGAAGAGCTAGGGAAAGCTCACTCTTGAGTGAAGGAAATTCCAGTGCAGGAGCGGGGAAGTGAAAAGGCGAGATACCTGATGAAAGCAGAACAGCCTTTGCTTGCACATTTTTTTTTTTAGACGGAGTTTCACTCTTGTCATCCAGGCTAGAGTGCAATGGCGGGATCTTGGCTCACTGCAACCTCCACCTCCGGGATTCAAGCGATTTTCCTGTCTCAGCCTCCCGAGTAGCTGGGACTACAGATGCCTGCCATCATGCCCGGCTAATTTTTGTATTTTTAGTAGAGATGGGGTTTCACCATATTGGCCAGGCTGGTCTCGAACTCCTGACCTTGTGATCTGCCCACCTCGGCTTCCCAAAGTGCTGGGATTACAGGCGTGAGCCACCGCGCCTGGCCTGCTTGCACATTTTAAACCCCTAGCTGGTGCTGTTTCTAGAGCATCTTCATACATTTTCAGCTTTGGAAGAGTAGAGAAAATATGGTCATATCGATTTCTTCTCCATTTTGCTTTTATCTAGTTATTATTTTTAAAAAATTGCTTTTTCAATGTAGGATTCTTACACCCACTGATAAATGAAATGGTCAAATTTTGATTTTACATGTCTAGAGATATTACTTAGCCTCCCACTTTCCCCTAATCTTTGTTGTTGTTGTTGTTGTTGTTGTTGTTGAGATGGAGTCTCTCTCTGTAGCCCAGGCTGGAGTGCAGTGGCGCGATCTCGGCTCGCTGCAAGCTCCGCTTCCCCGGTTCATGCCATTCTCCCGTCTCAGCCTCTGGAGTAGCTGGGACTACAGGCGTCTGCCACCACGCGTGGCTAATTTTTTGTATTTTTAGTAGAGATGGGGTTTCACCATGTTAGCTAGGATGGTCTCAATCTCCTGACCTCGTGATCCACCCGCTTTGGCCTCCCAAAGTGCTGGGATTACAGGCGTGAGCCACTGAGCCTGGCCACTTTCCCCTAATCTTAAACTTGCTTCCCAGTGGCTTTTTTTTCCCTTCTCTGTGGTTTCTCACAACCTCAGTATTGATATTGTAGTAGCTGGCTTTCTTCTCTTGATGAAGAAGAGTTTTGTAGTTTGTGGTGCTACCTAACTCATGAGGGTTTAAAATATCACAAAGCTCAATGGTCATGTGAGGAAAATTATTATATTTTCTTGGACACCATATTTAAAAATGTGATTGAATCAAGCTTTCCCGAGTATAACCAAATTAATAGCACAGTTTGGAATTCTACCCCCATCTGCATACTCTTGCCCTCAGGGTAGAATTCCTCTCTTTTCTTTCCACTAATTATTCAGGGTTTATCTAAAGATTTCCCTGAAGACCCTGGTTCCCAGTGATTTTCTCTGGCTCCTATACCACTCATGGCTTATAGCATTTCTTTGGCACATACTTTGTACCCCATTGAGATGGTGTTTCTATTGTACTGAAGTTAACTTTATATAATTATCAATACATTTCATACTTAGAAATTCTACCTCCCTAACTAGAGTATAAACTCTTTGAAGATAAGAAATTAGAGGGCAAAATGTATTTTATTTCCAGTTTTTATTGCCATTATTGATAATACTTCACACAGTTAAAGAGAAAAAAAAAACCTACATTTATTTATTTATTTACTTATTTATTTACCAAATCCTCACATCACAGCTGCATGTGAATCAAGTATGTCTATTTTGCAAATGTCAAAGGATGGACAGAGCTTGCAAGTGAATTGATTAAGGTCAATAGCACGTGTTCTAGAATCTGCAGTTGCCCGTTTGCTCTGGTGAGTCAGCATCCTGCTGACTGCTGCCAAAGTCTTGGCCTGCCTCCACAGATGTGCAAGCTGCCATGACCCTCCAGCCGCCCCTAGGTCCTTGAATATGTGTGCTCTGACTGCTAGGATCAAGTCTATGAAGCCTTACTTTCCTGTTTATACCAGTGACCATCAGGAGCTGAAGACTTTTGCATTATCCAAGATCATTATTCCAACCTGTGTGTCTGATTTCTTCTGCCTTCTCAAATCCAACACCAATACCTGCACTATCTCTGAAATCTGCAAGTCAGATATCTCACATTATGGTCATTATTTCCTACCATTCCAGCTAACTTACTCCATTATTTTTACTTTTATTCAGTTATTGACATGATATTCACAAAATAGATCTATGGTTTAGGAAACTGTTTGCAATGCAATTTTAATTGAAAAAGAAGAATATAAAATTGTCATGTAAAAATTCATTGGAAAAAGACAGCTAATATAAAAAGGGGTGATGGACTTATGGGTGTTTTTGCCAATTTTAGAATAAAATATATTCTACTCCTTTATTTCTAATTCCAAAATCACTTTATCTTATGGAAATGTTCAATGTACTTACTCTTCTCCCTCATTTTTTTTTTCTCTTATTTCTCTCTTTACTAAATCTCCATTTAGATGATCTAGTACCTTCAAAGCAGGTGAATACAATTCTAATCAGCCTTGGATAAAGCTATAAAGAAAGGCATGTCAAATTCAGGTTATATGTTTAAACTGCATGTCTCCCTGACACTTCCACACTATGGAAAATGTTGTCTCACTTGTTTTGCAATAGAAGTATTTTGGATCAAATTATATGAAACGAGGTCTCTACATTAAAAATATAATCATGTGGTAATGGCTACTGTCCCCCCAAAAAACAAAACAAAACAGAATCTCACTAGATTCCATCCCTTCTCTAGGCTTTGTCCCATAAATCTGCCTTCCTTCTCCAAAATTCCGTGAATGATTTGTGTATTTCTTATTTATCTTTATCTCTTGCACCCCCACTGATCACTGTGCTTTCTTACCTGACTCTGTGCTGAAACTACACTTTCCACGAATCACTGATAGTGTTCTTCTGATTAGAGCCAATGATGAATTTTAGTCTTCATTTTACTTGCATTTTCAGTAGCTTTTGAAACATTTAATCATTTAATCTTTAAAAACAACAATAAATGCTTTCTGCATTTGTAGTTTGAGATAACTCACTCTTCTGAGATTGCCTTACTTCTCCTTGAGCTTCATCTCAGAATCATTTTCAACTTCCTTTGGTCTCCACATCTAAATGTTGGAATGCCCAAGAATCAGTCTTCAGCACTGTCTTTCCCCTATGCTCATCCAACTGCCTGCTGTTGAAAACCACATTTTTGTACCTTGCCTGATCTCTCCCTTGAGCTTTCAGTTCAGGTAACTAACAGCATATTGGACAGCTCCTCTTGGATGAGTGATTGTCATAGGAAGCCAAATATGTCCAAGAGAGACTTAATTTCTTCCCAAATCTCTTCCTTTAGTCTTCTCTATCTCATTTAATGATACCTTCATGTGCCCAGTCGCTTCAGACAAAAGATACCAGAGATTCATGAATCTGTCTTTCTTTCACTTGCTATGTTTAATCCACCCCTCAAGTTCTGCTGTCTCCTCCTTCAATAAATAGATCCAGATAGATAGACAGATAGATCCAGATAGATAGATCTTCCAACTGGATCTCAGTCCTCATAGACCACCCTTAGCAAAGGCAACATCATCTCTCCCCTGAAACACACTCAAAACTTCATAGCTGGATTCACTATTTTTATCTTGTCCATTTTCTTTCTTCCTTCCTTCCCTTTCTTTCTTTCTTTCTTTCTTTCTTTCTTTCTTTCTTTCTTTCTTTCTTTCTTTCTTTCTTTCTTTCTTTCTTTTTTTGGGTGGGGGGACTGAGTTTCACTCTTGTTGCCCAGGCTGGAATGCAATGGTGCAATCTCAGCTCACTGCAGCTTCCACCTTCCAGGGTCAAGCAATTCTCCTGTCTCAGCCCCTTGAGTAGCTGGACTTACAGGTGCCTGCCACCATGCCTGGCTAATTTTTGTGTTTTTAGTAGAGATAGGGTTTCACCGTGTTGGCCAGGCTGGTGTCGAACTCCTGACCTCATGCGATCTGCCTGCCTCAGCCTCCCAAAGTGTTGTGATTACAGGCGTGAGCCACCGTGCCCAGCCTCTTGTCCATTTTCTTATGCCCTGTGCATACATCTCTCCAAATGACAGCCAGTGTGATATTTTTTTTGAAACATAAAAGAGATCATGTTACTGCCATGCTCAAAATTCTCCAGTTACTTCAGAGCCCACTTAGAACACAAATTTAGCCCTTGGCAGAGCATGTGGGAAACTACCCGATGATCTGGCCAGTCTGCCTCTTGCCTCATCCCCCTAGGCTCCCCAGTACTATGTGGCATTTTTCAGTTTCAGTGGCCTTTCTTTCTCTTCTATTTTAGAGTTGTTCTCTCTGCATATAAAGTTTTTCCCTGTGATCTTCCCATGGCTGTTTGTTAACATTATTCAGAACATAACCTAAATACTACTTTCCAAACAAGTAGAAAATAGTATTTAAACCAATTGACCACCTGGCTGGAGCACCCCACCCCCACTCTACCCCATTCCACTACCAATGATGCATTCTTAACTAAATAACATTCATCAAGACTTAAAGTTGTCTATTTAATGTCATAATTTTAGTTTTCTCACTGGAATATAAGCTCCTAGAGAGAAGGTTCCTTGCTCTATTCCCATCTACTACAATAATGTCCTACCAATAATGAGGGCTCAGTGTATTGATTGACATTGTCATCTGCAGCTAAACAAGAACAAAAATTGATTTGGCTTTCAGTCTTTGAACTTCTTAAACAAAGGCATCTTTAAAACTGGAAATCAGGAAGGAAAGAAAAAGAGAGAAAGAGAAAAAGGGGAAATAATTGAAATCCTTGGTCAATTCTCAGTATCTCTATTCCTGACTTTGAGAGAGCTCAGTCTGGACAAATTAGTCTACAATTATGGGTTGGTTTTCCATTTCTTATTTAACGACATTGGCCCTGCAGCCTCAGCCTGGTGGTTTTCCATAAAAGACTAGATTTTTCTGAAGATTTCTCATATCTAAGCACTTGTCACTTGGGCTTACAAGTTGGATTTTCCTTTAAGAGCCTGAACTAAATGCTTTAAATGGACCCATACAGTAAGTTTAATTAATAATTATGAATAGGAATGAAATGCAGAAGCGCCCTCTGGTGGTTTAATATATAGGAATGCAAAAATAGCAACGTGGAATCAAGATTCTTTTCACAGTGGGGCCAATAGGAGATTATTAAAACGTGCTTCTGCTTCTCCCTGTCTTTCCCTTCCTCTGCCTCTTCCTCCTTATTCTTTTCCTTAATTCAAAATATAATATGAGTTAGAATGGGAAAATTTATGACAATATCTAGCAGAAATCCATGTGGAGAAGCAACTTGTGGAAAACTGAAAGGATCCATGCCTCCAAGTAAACACTTTAAACAGAAGACCTTCTTTACTCTTTGCTAACCATAGCATAAACATACCTCTAATTCTTGCCAAGCAGAGATAGTATGTGTTTCCTCTCTTACTTAACCTTAACATTACTTTATTTGGTTTTCCCCAAGAACTGGGCACCTTGTACAAATTTGGAATTTTCCTTATGGGTAGCTTGTTTAAAGGCAGTGCTTTATGGAGTCTTAATAATTTATAACTTCCTATAAATATTCCTTGTTGCAATACTAGAATGTACTAGTGTTTTAAAAGTGGTATTATGGTTATAACTTTTATATGTTTTCCGTACCTGGCTTATGGAATTATTTGTACCTTGAATGTAGCATATCTACTATTTGGATGGCAGTTGTTTCATAGTTTTAGGGCATAATATTTTGTAATCACTTATTTTTATTTATTTTTTTTTCATTTCTATTGATACAAACGTAGCAACATAGTAAAAGCTCTTCTCCTCCTCCTTTTTTGTGGGGTGGGGACAGTATATTATACGAGTTCTCTTTCTCCTGCATCTGAAAGATTTTCCTTCTGCCATTTACATTTTATATACATTTTATGATTTCATCTATTTGCATGGGTTTAACTATTGGCTCTATGCATGCAATTCTATTCATTAACTTGGTTTTGATCTCCAATCTATTATTTAGAGCTGTCTTTTAGAAATTACCTCACAATTAAAGCTCAAAATGAGAATTAATCTCTCCCTCCAAAAAAAAAACAGGTACACCATAAACTAAATTTGTTCTACCTTCTAACTTCCATATATCAGTGTCTGGCTCTTTAATCATCCCGATTACTAGGTTTAAAACCACCAAGAGCTTTAACTTCTTCATTCTTACCTTATATAGGGAGTCAACCCCTAGTCAAATACCATTCACTGCACTCATAAAGGAACTTTCCCTTTTCCTCTCTGATTTCACTGGTTCTGAGTTTATTCCAATATTCTCTTACCTCACCTATTGGAATAGTCCCTTTGTTGATTGCAATGACTATAGCAGATCTTTCTAAAACAGGGCTTTGATAATTCTGTTCCCTTGCCCATTAGTTATTAATATAGTACAATAGTCTGAAAAATAAAATCCAAATCTAATGTATCTGGGACATTACCTCTGCCCCCATAGTGACCTGGCCCAACTTACTACCTTCCTAAATTTGTTCTCATTGAAATAAAACTAAAATCGTGGACTTTCTCTCTGTGTTGAAGAATTAGCTTCTCCAACACTGAGAAGAACAGATTTGTGGGAACAGATTTTACCCCTAAAATCAGCCAGCAATTTTAGAAACTAGTTCTCAGAATCATAAGGGAACTGAACATGAGAAAATAAACTCAAATTTGTTGTTATAACAGAAAAAATTACCAATAGCATAGTTCCTCTGGACAGTTTAAAATTAGCTTTTAATATAATGATATGAGTTATTTAATATAATGGAGCACAGCACATGTGTCCACAAACTACTTTGTTTCTTATTTTATTTATGTATCATTATTATTATCAAGGATACATGCAGACTCATGCCTTATGTAATCTATTAACCGCCTCTCTGTTAACACCAAGCATCCCAGATGTGGCCTGAAGCAAAGCAATCAGTTACCCTGACATCCAAGGGACTGTGAAGTGAGCCTGTGCCTCCTCCTCTAACCCAGTGTGCTTAATAATCACTCGAACTACCTCCTTTTTTTTTTCAATTTGTAATTTCCTTTTCAATTTGTAATATTCTAAACATTTTTGCTTTTCAACTTGTATTATTATTAATAAACATTAAGGAAGTACCATTGCAAAAGAAATGGAGACTATGGGGTAGGCACGGTGTCTCATGCCTGTAATTCCAGCATTTTGGGAGGCTGAGGTGGGAGGATCACTTGAGGCCAGGGGTTTGAGACCAGCCCTGGCAACATAGTGAGATCCCATCTCTACAAAAAAATAAAAGGATAAAAAATAAGCCAGGCATGGTGGCATGCGCCTATAGTCCAGCTACTCTGTAAGGCCAAGGTGGGAGGATTGCTTGAGCCAGGGAGGTCAAGGCTGCAGTGAGTCATGATCATGGCACTGCACTCCAGCCTGGGCGACAGAGTGAGATCCTGTCTGGAAAAAAAAAGAAAGAAAACAAAAACAAAAAGAAAGAGGAGCTCCGCTTTTTGAGTCTAATGAAAATAAACAATTGAAGTTATTCTTTACAAAGTTTTTTTGTAAAATGCTTTGAAAATCTGAACATTTGAATAAGACTGAGTGCACAGTTGGGGGAGGCTCTAAAGATAAGTTTGTGCTTTTGCACGTAGTGCCAAGATTACAGTGAGAATGGGGAAAGTCAGCTAAGTGACAAGCAGTTGTTGAAACAAATACTTGATCAGAATGGTGGAAGTGATATGGGCTAGGAGCAACTAAGAGAGTCATTTCAAGGTGAGATGGGAACTTGAAAATCAGTGGGAAGCCTGGGAAGGAACTGAAAACCGGAGTAGATAAGCATTAGGGAGGAAAACAATTTTTTCCAAGACATTTCAGACTGATTGCAGGGGAAAATGGTAGAGACCAGGGAGGAGAATTAAGAAGGAAATTGCAGTATAAGTCAGAGACGAAAAATTGTCAACGTAAGTGTGAAGGTTTTTTCAATGGCAAGAAGGTACTAGTATTGAAAGGTGCCACCCAAATTGGCTCACCTCTAGGGAGCTGAGGTGACAGGGTAGTGTCCTGATAACAGATGGTTTTCCTTTTCTTTTCAATAAAGTATGAAGTTAATCTCCCTCATAGCAAGTCAACAAATATAAGGGCTTTGAAATTTACTTGCATTTATTAGAATCAGCTATATATGCTTTTATCTTTGGATACAATCAAAGATATCTTATAAGTCTATGGCTAGAGCATTTTCTTTTGTATTTGAAAAAATAATTGCAAAGATGATAATGGGGATAAAGGTGTTGCAAGGCTGGTATTTTTCAGCTCTCAGTCTGCCTTCCTAGGAAACATGTTCAATAAATAGCAGTTACAATCTGAGGTCTGACGAGGGAGGGACAGGATGAGATAAGATTTCTCTGAACTCATAACTTCAAAGTCGTTTTATTTTCTTGAGTTTCAAAGATGAGAAAACTAAGATACATAGAAGTTCCATAACTTGCCTCAAACCCTATGACAAGGCACACTGGATCGTGATTGCAGATTCTGTTTCCCTTCCTCTTTGCTTCTTTATTTCAAACTGTTCTGTGGTGTGGCCAAATAATCTTACTCTATCCACTTAAAACCACTGTCAACTTAGATCGTCTTCCTTGGGTTCTTGTTACTAGGAGTTGTTGATGAACATACAGCGAACATACTTTCCTCATTTTTGTGAATAATTTAGCACGTTTCTAATAGATTTATACTTCACTATCACTATTTTTCAAAGTGGAAATTCACTTTGAGCCTTTTACCACCTTATCCTTATGCTTCTTTTACTTCTCACTGTCAATCATTTGCCCGGCCCTGTTGACTTTGCCTCTCTTCTATCTGTAACTCATGAACACTGTCACTACTGCAGTTCAAAATTAAGATTTCTTATTCAGGACTACTTGAAAAGTCTATTAACAGTTTACTTGCCTTGAATGGTTTTCTCTCTCTAGTCCAACTTCTACAGTGCGGCCTCATGCATTTGCTAAACTTCAGCTGTGGCATTTTACATTTTGAGCAACCATCAGGAGCTTTTATCTAAAAAATAAAGCTCCTTAGCCTGGCATTTAAAGCCCTCCAAAATCTTTTCTCTGACTTACCCTTTAAATATAATTTCCTTTTATGCTTACCAGTCAGGAACCCATCTTTCCAAGCAAAGCAAAATTTTGTCAATTGTCCATGTCAGCCTCATGTTTTCTGGCACCTACCCTCTGAGGACTTTTCCTTTGCCCATCATCACTGTTCTTTGTTCTGAGAAAACTCTCTATCAAATCCATATCCAAGTGCTACTCTTGTCCCTCCTGTGCGTCTCTGAAATCCACTCCTTCCATTTTACTGCTTCTCTGCCGACTTCTGGCCTTGACATTTTCCATGGGCCTGCTGAAGGACCTCCCTTTTTCCTCCATCTGCACAGCTGCTGTGATGAGTTTTCTCATGTGGAAATCTGAAGCAGCGCTTTCCCTGCTTGGAAGCTTTTGCCTGCATTCCATTTGCTCTCACAAGTCCTTTAGCTCGGTATCCAAGTCGTATGATGGCATGTTTATGTCTTTCACACCAGCCTTACCTCTTCTTGCTACACCCATTTCTCACACCATGTACTTCTTGTTCCAAATGCACAGTGTAGTTGCTAGAACCATGTGTTACAACGTTTTGACATCCTTGTAATGGGTTGCTCTTGTCATGTTATATGACAGTTGCTATTTTACCTGTGTAACTTTCATCTCAACTGTGTACATGAGGCCATGCCTTATTCAGATTTGTATCTCTAGCAATTAACATAGTAGGGTATAACAGATATTTATTTTTAATCTGATTGAACTGAAATAAACCTCAACATATCCAGGCTCAACAGATGCTCCAAGTCTCATCCCGATGGATAGTAGCCTTTCCCGGGGTAGTCTTTGCTGATATCCTTCTTCACCCACCACCCCCACTGGGCAAGGATCCCACCTCTCTCAGACATCCATTGTCAGCCTCACTTTTTTGACACATACAACTTGCATTTTGATGATTGGAAGGATTCCTTTATTTCTTCCCTCTTAAATTACAAGCTCTATTAGGAGAAACTTTAGTTACTCATATTTTCCCTATTATAACATTTAATATATGTGCTTTGCAAATACTAGAAATAAAATAAATATGGGTAAAATAAATGAAATGGATGCATAGCTTCTTCAATACTCATTACATGGAAAATCAAAGAGATTTATAACTTTAAGGGAACTTTGGAATAATTTGTTCTAACTTCTTCATTGTGCACATTAGGAAATCACATTCAAAGAGGTTCTGTTATATTTTTAAGGTCTCAATATAAAGAAAGGAAAAATTAGGACCAGAACCAGAGTCTCCTGATTCCAGGCAATGCTTTTACGTATTTCCAGTTATATTACTCTGCCTTTTCAATTATACAAGGTATCATATAAATCTTTTTGATGCTTTATATGGTAAAATAATTACTTAATTTTTTCAATGATAATTATGTAAATTATACAGAGCTCTTTACTGGATAAGTATTAAAGAAACAATACATTTTTCAATGGGGATAAATTATTTTTTAAAAAACACTGTAATAACACCCTAAAATTACACCAGACTGAGAAAGAAGATGCAGAACTATTATACAAGGAGATCTTCATATTAAAAATATTAATCGTCATTTCTAAGAAAGGACGTTAAGAAGAAAACTACAAAGATATTTGCTTTTGGCCTTGGAATTCATTTAGAAAAGGATCCCATATTCAACAGCAACTTATTTCATTTTAAAATAGGACAAGTATGTGATTAGTTATACATATAAATCATAAATAATATCTATTTTGGTAAAGTAATGTTACACAAATAAGTCAGTTTATTAATATAGTTGTCTGATTTTGCGTATCTTACACATGTATACTGCATACCACATAAATGTCCATGACATCCATTTATCATAATTGCCGTATTCAGATAATTTACTTTCCTCTGTTAGAAAAATTGACAAACATTATATATACATATTATATTTAAGATTAATATTGAGGTGAAAGCAAAAACGTGTCATTGTTTTGGGCCCTATGAAACATCACATTCTCAGAAAGGTGGAGTACGATTTCTAACTACCTTTTAATGTTTTCTATTTAAAAGGTAAATAGGATTTGTGGCCGCCCTGTAAGAACACCCACACAAAGCCCCCGTTGTTCTTTTGATCAGAGCAAAGAGAAGCATGGAATGAAGACCACCACAAGGAACAGTGAAGAGACGCTTGCCAACAGAAGAAAGTAAGACATTTGTTTTACAACCAGAAAGAGAAAAGAAAGTAAGCCATTAATTTTACAACAGAATAGAACATATTCAATTAAATCGAATAAAATTCAATATGGACAAAAAAAAAAAGGATCAATATTCATTAACTTTAAAAATCAGTGGCTGCACCTGTTCCATTAATTTGGAAGACAGGTTCCACTTATAAGACCAAGAAAACTTTTTGTGATAATGGAAGATTTCCATAATATAACATGGAAGGTCATATTGGGGGCCCTGGGCACATGTGACATCATACGCTTAAAATGTGACCAGTGTGACTGAGGATTGAATTTTAAATTGTAAATGTGGCTAGTGGCTACTGACTGATGATTATAATTTTAAATTGTAAATATGGCTAGTGGCTATTGTATTGGACAGTGAAAGACAGAAAGATAATACATTTACATGATGTGATAGGTATTACTGAATGTTTAACATATATTTTAAAAAGTTGAATAAGAAGAAGTTTTCATAATTTTACATGAAATGCTAGAAATGGTTATCTGTTGATTCAAAATAATACACATCCCATAGGGCTCGCTAACTCACATTTCTACCACCGTGTCCATCATATTTCACAGGTTAAATTCAGGCCTCATTTTGTGTTCCTTTGCTTGATAATGGATGCTTAAAATGTAAAGCTCTTAAAACTAGAGGAAATTATTATATGTGTGTGTGTTTAGTTGACCAGTCAGTGTATGTCCTGGCAAACACTAGATTCTAAGTCAGTACTTTTTGAATTGGACTGAAATTCAGAATTTTATATTCATTTAGTAAATAATTATTTCTAATAATACTCTATGAATAATTCATATATAAGGTATTTCACATAAGCTTTCTATAATCTAAAATCTGTTTCTTTCTTTTTTGGGATAGGACACCTAATTGCCTCATTCTCTCATCAGATGGGCTGTATGCATGGGATAAAGATCTGGGCTATTGCTGGCTATTTTCTACAGCTAAAAAGAATTAGCATTTTATTTTACATGTAAAGTAGCTGTTCTTTTTATCTAAACACCTACAATGATCAGCAATCATTTCTTGCACTTGAAAAATCAGTATATTTTGTCTAGGGTGTTTTTATAATAAAACCCATCTACAGAAGATCTGAAGTCCTTCGAGGTGTTGTATTTCACCAGCAAAACAACCCAGTTGGAAAACAAAACAAAACCCAACCTTTAATATAATCTATTCACTAGCAAAATGAAACCAATGCAGGTGAAATGTTACAAACTGGCTCAGGAACAATAAGGGGCTCATACAAGTGAAAGGTTTTAAAAGTATCTATCCTGGCCACTGAATAGACCTTCTTGTCACCAATCTTGCAAACTCATTGTTTTGATGTCCCTGACCATCCAGCCATGTTTAGCCATTGTCCATGAATCAGCATAGATCCAACACATGCTTGTCTCCTGCCACACGGAGTGAACAACCATAGGAACTGCACATGAGTCCACTTATGCATTTCAATTTTACACTAATTTTTATTACCACTCTTTAGAGGGGCTTCATTGCCATGGCATTATATTTCTGCTAGTTGCTTATTTATTGTACAGGTTTCTCTGTAAACTAACCCTGAATTTTATGTATCCCTCATCAACTGATTATTCCCCATGAGGTCATAAATTTCCATTGAAATAGATGAGCAATGTAGCACGAGTGGATGCTGAGTCTGGGCTACCTTCTCGTGTGCCTTGTTCTTTCTCTACCGCTTGAGCCTGATTTCCAATAGATCACTTCCACTTGGTTGTAATTACTTCTATTCGAGCCTAGTCTTATAGCCTGGCAGATCAGGTAGTACTTAGTTCTTCACGGCAATCTCAGGTTGCACGGTCACTTGCTAGGTCATGGTCAAGTGTGTAGTTTCTACCAGAGCTCAATTGCAAAGCAACTAACCAAATAACCAGCTAACCCACACAGCCATGAAACTTCAGATAGCACTGAATAAGTAAACAGGCTTAACTGGACTCACCATCAGAGCACCTTGCAAATGAGTAAGCAACAGAGCCTTTTCTTTCTCAGATTAAAGCTCTTTTGGGCTATTCTGTAAATGGGCTAGAGCAACACACCAAAGTGAATAATATGATTTTTTTCTAGTATGTAAAGGAATCTAAAAAGCACTCTATCTCTTCCTGAGTTTTAGGTTATCTTAGGTGCAGAAATTTTCCTTTTATATAAGAAGAATATCCCAGTAACATCCAGGCCACATTTAGAAACATTGCTGAATTGTCAAGCACTGGAAATGTCAGTACTTTCCACCACAGAGGCACAAATATGTCTACTAAGACATTTGGGTGATGTGATCCATATTTTATTGTCAGCATTATGTCCCACAGGATATCTAGACAATCAAGGCTCCTGTCTACCATGGACTGGGAAAGTTTTTGACATCTAACAGTGAAGGGGTCCTTGCCAGCTAAAAGTGAATTATTTCCAACTGTCCTTACTAATTGGTAAGGAGGTAAAAGAATTTGCCAAATCATTAGCTGCATAGCAGGTGTCAGGACATATTTGGATTTGCCCAAGTAGTCACCACGTATAAAGGAACATCTGTAATTGGAGTCACCCTCTGACTCTGTTTCTGATAAGCCAACCTTCACCAAGTCCATCTCAGTGTGCACAGACCAGCCAAATAGGCGAGGTAAGTAGCGAGGTGTTAGGAATCATCACCACTGTGTTTTTCATGTTTTTGAAGTGGCCCTAATCTCAGCAATTCCACAGGGATATGATACATTTTTGTTTTAGTATTTTTGTCAGGAGAGGAATGTCTTTTTTTTATTGTGTTCAGCTCAACTTTTAGGTGGTTTATTTTATTTTTCTTTTCCTTTATTTTATTTTCTTTTATTTTAGGTTCTGGGATAAAAGTGCAGAAGGTGTAGGTTTGTTAAATGGGTGTATGTGTGCCATGGTGGATTGCTGCACCTATCAACCTGTCCTCTAGGTTTTAAGTCCTGTATACATTAGCTATTTGTCCTCATGCTCTCCCTCTCCTTGCTCCCCACCCCGACTGGCCCTGCTGTGTGATGTTCCCCTCCCTATATACATGTGTTCTCATTATTCAGTTCCCACTTAGGAGTGA
This sequence comes from Homo sapiens, assembly GCF_000001405.40. NCBI lineage: Eukaryota > Metazoa > Chordata > Mammalia > Primates > Hominidae > Homo > Homo sapiens. Next base: position 91,731,770 of record NC_000013.11, read on the forward strand.
GAACATGCGGTGTTTGGTTTTCTGTTCCTGTGTTAGTTTGCTGAGGATGATGGCTTCCAGCTTCACCCATGTCCCTGAAAAGGACACGGTCTCATTCCTTTTTATGGCTGCATAGTATTCCATGGTGTATATGTACCACATTTTCTTTATCTAGTCTATAATTGATGGACATTTGTATATTGATTCCATGTATTTGCTATTGTAAATAGTGCTGCAATAAACATACATGTGCATGTGTCTTTAAAGTAGAATGATTTATAATCCTTTGGGTATATACCCAGTAGTGGGATTGTTGGGTCAAATGGTATTTCTGGTTCTAGATCCTTGAGGAAGCACCACACTGTCTTCCACAATGGTTGAACTAATTTATGCTTTCACCAACTGTGTAAAAGCATTCCTATTTCTCCACAGCCTCTCCAGCATCTGTTGTTTTCTGACTCTTTAATGATCGCCATTCTGACTGGCGTGAGATAGTATCTCATTGTGATTTTGAGCTGTATTTCTCTAATGATCAGTGATGTTGAGGTTTTTTTCATATGTTTGTTGGCTGCATAAATGTCTTCTCTTGAAAATGTCGGTTCATATCCTTTGCCCACTTTTTGATGTTTTTTTTTTTTTCTTGTAAATTGAAGTTTGTAGATTCTGGATATTAGACCTTTGTCAGATGGGTGGATTGCAAAAATTTTCTCCCATTCTGTAAGTTGCCTTTTCACTTTGATGATAGTTTCTTTTGCTGTGCAGAAGCTTTTTAGTTTAATTAGATCCCATTTGTCAATTTTGGCTTTTGTTGCAATTGCTTTTGGTGTTTTTATCATGATGTCTTTGGCCATGCCTATGTCCTGAATGGTATTGCCTAGGTTTTCTTCTAGTGTTTCTATGGTTTGGGGTTTTACATTTAAGTTTTAATCTGTCTTGAGTTAATTTTTATATAGGGTGTAAGGAAGGGGTCCAGTTTCAGTTTTCTGCATATTGTTAGCCAGTTTTCCCAGCACCTTTTATTAAATAGGGAATCCTTTTCCCATTGCTTGTTTTTATCAAGTTTGGTGAAGATCAGATGGTTGTAGATTTGAGGTGTTATTTCTGAGGTCTCTGCTCTGTTCCATTGGTCTATATATTTGTTTTGGTACCAGTACCATGTTGTTTTGGTTGCTGTAGCCTTGTACTATAGTTTGAGGTCAGGTGGTGTGATGCTTCCAGCTTTGTTCTTTTTACTTAAGATTGTCTTGGCTATACGGGCTCTTTTTGGTTCCATATGAAATTTAAAGTAGTTTTTTCTAATTCTGTGAAGAATGTCAATGGTAGTTTGATGGGAATAACATTAAATCTGTAAATTACTTTGGGCAGTATGGCCATTTTCACAATTTTTGTTTTGTTTTGTTTTGTTTTTGAGACAGTCTCATTCTGTCGCCCAGGCTGGAGTACAGTGACACAGTCTCGGCTCACTGCAACCTCCGCCTCCCAGGTTCAAGCAATTCTCCTGCCTCAGCTTCCGAGTAGCTGGGATTACAGCATGCACCACCACACCTGGCTAATTTTGGTATTTTTAGTAGAGATGGGGTTTCACCATGTTCGCCAGGCTGGTCTCAAACTCCTGACCTTATGATCTGCCCACCTCAGCCTCCCAAAGTGCAGGGATTACAGGCGTCAGCCACCGGGCATGGCCTGCTATATTGATTTTTCATATCCATGAGGATGGAATGTTTTTCCATTTGTTTTTGTCCTGTCTTATTTCATTGAGCAGTGGTGTGTAGTTCTCCTTGAAGAGGTCCTTCACATCCCTTGTTAGCTGTATTCCTAGGTGTTTTATTCTCTTTGTAGCAATTGTGAATGGGATTTCATTCATGATTTTGCTCTCTCCTTGTCTATTGTTGAGTTATAGGAATGCTTGTGATTTTTGCACAATGATTTTTTTATCCTGAGACTTTGCTGAAGTTGCCTATCAGCTTAAGGAGTTTTAGGCTGAAATGATGGGGTTTTCTAAATATAGAATCATGTTATCTGAAAACAGAGACAAGTTAATACCTGTCTTCCCATCTGAATACCCTTTATTTCTTTCTCTTGTCTGATTGCCCCGGCCAGAACTTCCAATACTGTGTTGAATAAGAGTGTTGAGAAGGGGCATCCTTGTTTTATGCCCATTTTCAAAGGGAATGCTTCCAGCTTTTGCTCATTCAGTATGATATTGGCTGTGGGTTTGTCATAAATAGCTCTTATTATTTTGAGATATGTTCCATCAATACCTGGTTTATTGAGAGTTTTTAACATGAAGGGATGTTGAATTTTATTGAAGGCCTTTTCTGCATCTGTTGAGATGATCATGTGGTTTTTGTCATAGGTTCTTTTATGTGATGGATTATGTTTATTGATTTGCGTATGTTGAACCAGCCTTGCATCCCAGGGATGAAGGTGACTTAATTGTGGTAGATAAGTTTTTCAATGTGCTGCTGGATTCAATTTGCCAGTATTTTATTGAGGATTTTCATATTGATGTTCATCAGGGATATTGGCCCGAATTTCAGGAATTTCAATTTGGCGTTCACTCCGTGAGTTGGGGACTCTTTATGGGGATTGTGCGATGGGTAAGTATGTCTAGTTCAAATCTGTGTTCAGGAGTGTGAAATAACTACAGGGTGGGTCTGTGGACTGAATGTCCCAATGTGAGACAGATTGAGCCTAAAACTCGATTTTCATTTGACCTCTGTAAGCCTCTATTTAGACTCACAGGATAATGGTATTCTGGGTCTTTGGGATAAAAGTCAGTACAGAGGTAGTGTCTAATAATTCCTGGAAGGAAAATAGCCACAGGTCCCTGTAGGGAATGGATGGAGGAAGATTTATATTACATAGTGGTTTTACTTATGCAAGGTTCTTTCTCAAGGGATCCCAGCCTTCAGTCAAGGTGCTTTGATGTGTGAACTGGGAACTGGGTGAAAGACTGAATTCCTTTGGTGGTGAATAAAGTGATGTTTCTTTTCATATCTTTAATTTCCAAATATTTTTCATTGGTCTCTTTTTAAATTCACATCCCATTCTTGTTTCATGGATGAGTTATTTTCTTATCGTTCTTAACATTAACTATAGTTTTTGAAAAATGCATTACCATATTTCTATTTTTTTTCTGTTTTATCTGAATTTCCTTTTCAGTGTTAGCTGGGTTTTCTACTAGATTTTTTTTCAGATTAAATGTATTTATTGGTAGAAGTTCCTTTTTATATTCCATATATTAATTTGTTCCTTTTAGACATTGAAAACATTTTTTATCTAAGAAAATAGTTCATTTAATGTAAAATAAAATAAAGTGATTAGTAACTTAGTCTAAGATGACCTTGTTAAATATAAATTCTTAACTTTGATATCAAGGTTATCAAGTTTTCTTTTTTGTTTAAAATTTCTTGCCTGCATCAACTCAAAAAGAGATTCTACTATATTTTTTCTACTAGCTCTATGGTTTTTTCTCTTATTATACATAATACATAGGGAATATATCTGTATATATAAGGTAAGTTTCCAAGTCAAATTTTCCATATTCTGATCCAATTTCCCCAAAAAACCCTAAAACAGTCCATCCTTTCCCCCTTTGTGTTCTTTTCTTTCACCTCACACTCATTCTAAGTTCATGTAATTATACTGGCCTATCGTCTGTTAATAAGTCAGTAGTTGTTTTCTGCAGATTTTTACTGATTTCTGTTATTGCAATTGCTTTTGCTTTTAAGGATTTTATAAAATCTTGTAAGGTAAGTCACTATATTTACTCTCATTTTCAAAATTCTCTTAGATATTTTGAAATTTAGTTTTCAAAATATAGTATCTTTTTGTTGGATTTCAATTGGAGTTATATTGACTATATAGATTGATTTGAACAAAGATATTAGGATAATGCTATAAATGGCTATTTTTCTGAACTCTGTTTCTAATGGTTGGCCTTTTGATCATATTAGGTTTTCTGTGTGGATGATCATTTTGTGCACTGGTACAGTTTCCTCCTGCTGCACCTGGCAAAACTCACATACCCTATGCACTAGAGTCTACTACTTAGGATGTGTCCTAAGGAAACTTGCTTATACCCAGAGGAGGCATTCTTGATTATTTGTGATAGCTGAGCATTAGAAGCAAACTATCCACATCTAGGAAAAATGGAAAAGTAAAATATAAGACTTTGGAACATTATGAAGCAGTCAGAAGCAATGAACACATTTTCATACAGCAAAAAATCTCATTGAGATTACAGAGAAAACACATTGTGCAGAATGAGAACAATAGTACAATGCCATTATATGAATTAAAAACATTATTAAATAAAATCAGTATATATTTTCAAGGATGGGATATAGCAGAGTATTTATATTATATACATTAGAATGAGTATTTATAGAAAAGAAAGAGGGTGAGGGATGAATTAAAAAATTAAGATAATAAAATAATAAAGCAGGAATGTTCAAGGGTAAATTGTGATAGTATGGCAGGAATTGAGGAATATGCTTAACTGAACCTTCTGTATCTGAGAAAATATAGGTGTGTTTATATATGCATACATATTAACACACACAATTATTTTAAAGTTTAGATGAAAAGTGTTTTTTAAAATCAAGTTCTTCTAATTAAAAAGTAGTTCAAACTCCCTTGTCAAAATTTTCGTGAAAGCTAATAATACTCAATTTTTCCACAATCTTTTTTTTGCCATCTCATATGCTGAATGTAGATCTTTTTTTATTATACTGTATTGTAGATACAGTGACCATCCACACAGAGATAAAATATAAATGACTGAGAACAGTTGTTGACTTGTTTGGATTTCCTACTATAACCCATTAATTAAAATAAAAGGAAAGATTACTTAAAAAAATAGACAAGGAAAACATCCAAATTATTAACAAAACCACTGCTTTGTGTAATTCATACAAAAGGGAAGTAAAAATTAATATTTTCTAAGTTAGTTTTATTAATTAGTTGTATATCCTCAATAGTGTTAAAAGAAAAAATTACAACAAATTTAGTTGTAGATCTAATTGGCTTTTATTTGTGATTCATGAATGAGAGAATCCTCTATTCCAGAAAATGGAATGAGAACTCCCACTGGGCAAGTTCAGGACAGTGGGTTTTGTAAGGTGGAAATGAGAAAACAGAACAATAGGAAAAAATAAAATAAAATAAACTGATTGGTTAACATCAGGTTACTTCAGATTATTATTATTATTATTATTATTTTTGATGGTAGTCCCAGCTATTCGGGAGGCTGAGGCAGGAGAATGGCGTGAACCTGGGTGGCGGAGCTTTCAGTGAGCTGAGATCATGCCATTGCACTCCAGCCTGGGCAACAGAGCGAGACTCCGTCTCAGATTACTTTTTAAAAGGGTTAAAGCAGAGGGGACTTCCTTATTACAGTGACTCAGATTTCCTGGAATCTCCTGTTTTTAGGAAAAAGTGGTCTGTTTTGGGATCTGTTTCCTTAAAGTTTCAGTTTGATGATATGGCATTTAGCATGACTGATTCCATTTTGGTTTAGGCTGGTCTGTTGAGGCCTAGTGCAAGAGTTCAGTTCAAAACAATGGCCTATAATATTTGTTTAACAATAGTTTTCCTCAGGTATCCTTTTTTAAAATTTACTTTGAGTAATTCCCAAGAGAATACCTCTAGCAGAAACTACTTTCTATAAATTTAAACCAAACCAAAACCATTAAAGGAAAGCTATGAAACAAAATAATTTAGCAGTTTCCATAGCTTAGTTTCTGTAATAGCTGAAAAAATAGGAATTGTAAAATCCATCAGCGTCTTTGCCAACATAAATGAAAATAAACACTATTCTATGTTTGCCAAAAATTAAAGATGCATTTTACATTATAAATAAGGCATAACCTTTTCAAATTATATTGTCATAGTTTATACTTTAGATTTTGTGTATTATGAAAATTTTGTTGTTTAAAATTATGTTAGAGATATGGCACCCTAATTTAGAAAAACTATTTCAGGTCTTTGTGACAGAGGAAGAATTTAATTTATATTTTAGTCTTCCAGTATTCAACCTATTCTTTTGAGGTAATGTTAATATAATTGTCAGGGAGGGGAAAATGTCTTCCTTCCACACTCTGAAATTCTTTAGCTGGAGTACAGATTAAATTAATATAAGGCAGATTAATAGAAAAACGATTTTAATTACATATATAGGAATGGGAGTCCCACAAAAATATGGGGCTTAAGGAAAGGCCAGGTAATTGAAGCTTATATAGCATCCTGAGCTAAAGAAAGGAATACAGAGCTGGATCTTCTAGTGGGTAGTGAAGACAAACTATTGAGAGGGTGAGTGGAGGAAAGGGATGGGAAATAAAATTTGCCTTGTTACACAGGTAAACTTCGCACTGGTGATAAAGACAAACTAGGTCTCCTAGAAGTTCTCTTCCTGATTCAGATACCTTTACTAAGGAAAATTTTCTTTATAGATGTAAACTTCTTTTACAAAAGAGCAGGTTTTCAGAGCCTTTCCTGTGTCTTCAGTTTCTCAAAATAACCAGTTCAAAGTAATCAAAATGACAAAAAGTTATATTTTGGGGTGGCATATTCTGGTCTCCTACAGTTATATTTTGGGGTGTTGTGTCCTATGCACATGGTTATGCCTCACCATAACCGTGGTTGACTTATAACTAATTTAACTAGCTACCTTTTTTTGGGTGTAGGCCAACAGTATTTATTAAGTGGTGATAAATCAGTCTTTATCATTGGAATATTTAATCCTTTTGTATACAGAAACATACAATATCCTGAAGGTAGCTGGGCTTAAGACTGCTGTCTTGCTCTTTTTTTTCTCTTTACTGCATGTCTTTTTTAAAAATTCCTCCTTTCTTGCCTTCTTTTGAGTTTAACAAATATTTATTATTTTTATCCTTTTATAACTTTTTAAATTTGTATTTCTTTATTCTCTTAATGGTTATTATAGAGATCACAATATGCATTTTTAATTTTTACTGTCTAAATTGTAACTTTTACTACTTCATTGAACAATATAAGAAACTTAGGATAGTTTCACTCCATTACCCTCTTCCCTTTTTTTATGCTATTTTACCAACAAATAGCTTACTCTTACCAATATTTTCACAATCCCCAGGACAACTACTGCTATATAATAATACTTACTTATAATTTCTCACACATTTTATCCTTTCTGGTGCTCTTGTTTTTTTCTCCAGTTTCATGTGTTTATCTAGAATCTTTTTGCTTTAGCCTTAGTATAGCTTTTGTTGATTATTACAGGTGATGAATTTTTGCAGCTTTCATTTGTCTGCAGACATCTTCATTTTTGAAGAATATTTTCACAAGGTCTTGAATTGTACATTGTTGCCAATTAACATTTTAAAAATGAAAATGTCTAAGCCATCGTTAAGTTCATGACTGAGCCCTCATTAACTTCATAACATTACACGTTGTGTCTAAGTGGTATGGAAAGTGTAGTGGAACAAATATAATATGAGAAATAACTAAGGTTGTGGGTGCTGCTGTTGGCCCTACTCATATCCTCTTCACCTGGCCCTTTTACCTGCCTCCTGGCTGCTGTGTTCCAACTCATAGCTGCTCTAGTCCCTGGGAAATTGCCTTCAACAAATAGGAGCCATTGGTATTATTTCTTATCTATTGCAATCTAACAAATCATTCCAAAACGTAGTGGCTTAAACCAACCATAAGCATTTATTATCCTATTTTCTGTTAGGAATTTGGGAGCTAATTAGTTGCGGGGTTCATGCTCAGGGTCATTAGAGAGACTGCTGTCAAGAAGGCAGCTAGGGCTGTGGTCATCTGAAAGCTCAAGTGGGGCTGGAGTATCATCTCCCAAGATTGCTTGCTCACATGGCTGTTGGTGGGAGGCCTCCGTTTGTTGTCACAGTGACCTCTCCATAGGACTGCTTGAGTGTCTTCACATTGCGGCTAACTTCCCTCAGAACAAGAAATCTAAGAGAGAGCAAGGCAGAGGCTGCCGTCTTATATGAGCTGGACTCAGAAATCACATACTATTGTTTTTGCAATATTCCATAGGTTACACAGGTCATCCCTCTTCATTGTAGAAGGGGACTATGCAAAGGCATGAGGGATGAAACTGTGGGGAGTTATCATGGAGACTGGCTCTCATCCATCTCATCCACCTGTGGAAAGGGATTAGACTGCCACCTACCTCAGGCTCTTGGCAGCAACTTACAGGCAATGACTGACTGACACAGGGATAGAAGAGGCTTGCCCCTTGCTTCAAGGTGTGGGACCAAACCTGGTGAAATGCATGCTTCAGTGCTTCTTGTGGTATCTGGCTGAAGCTGAGCCCACATCCCCACTTAGCTTCTTCCGCCACACCTGCCCTTGCTTCCCTTTCTCGCTTTTACCTAAAAGCACTCCCTGATGAGTTGCCTGCATACTGATTACTGTCTTAGGCACTGCTTCTAGGGAATCTGACCTAGAGATGCCTGAATTTTTAAAGGTACCTAAAATAAATGCAGAATGAGAGTAAGTGAAGGCAGGATTACAGTATCCTCTCCTTAGGATAGAGAAATCTCTTAATATTCCCAAGTTCCTAACCATTTTTTTCTCCCTGTTTTTCTATATTCATTTCACAGAGGTCCCTTCTGTTAAATACATTGCTTTTTCCTTGTTTTGCTTCTAACATTTGAAGAAGGAAAATTTCCTTATTCCTGGATAAGAGTTGTGCTAAGCTCCTTTGTGGACATTGTGAGTCTTCTTTTAGCTTGGAGAGAGGGGAGCTAAACCATAGAGTTGGATTCTTTTATTTTGGAGACGTAATTGTCCTGATTCAATTTCCCCAATCCATTTCTGTTTATATAGCATGCTAATAATGTGCACATCAAAGACCCTGAGTGATTGATACATACCAGTTACGGAGGTCTCCAAAGTTGAGCAAAGTAAGGAAGAGCTACTGCTCCTTTAAACAGCCAGCAAAGCATCACAATTTTCCCTTTTTGAGCAGAGACCAAATCAACACAGCTGTAAAGGACATTGCGCTCATATAGTTGTCTAAAGCAGGCCAGGCAGAGTGATTTCCCTGTGGCAGTTCCTGCTCTCTGCTTGATTTCTTGAAGTTAGCTGGTAAGAATAAGCTATTAGCAAGCTTAAATCGGTGATAATTAGCTGTACATTATTATTTCAAAGTGGTGTGGCTGTGCCAATTAAGTAGGTAATTAGGAAAACCCCAGGACAATAAATTAAGATGGAGTCTCAACACCAGTGCCCCATCTGTTCTCCAGCAAGCATTCCAATTAGCCAGGCCTCTCATTTCAGAATGCATGATTAAGGGGATTGGCTGCATGCATGAGTGTGTATTTGCATAATAGGGAGTGTCCTAGGTGCTTAGTAAAAATAAGATATTTTTACTATCAGACAGGATTTTGATGTCAAGGTGGGGAATGCAGAATTTTTAGAAATATTGGATTTTTTTGAAACAAAATATAAATTTTGAGTTTTTTTCAATTTTGTCTTCAGAACTTAATTGAAATATTATATCATTAGACATTTCCAGTTCATTCTAATGCATTTATTAAATCGTGATTTGAGTGAGAATTTTATCACTTGGAACATTAACAGTTTTATTTATTAAGAACAGAAAGCAAAGAGGACACTTGAAATTGCAGTTTAATGAAAGAAATGAGGCAGGGCATGATTCTCATTCAGAATGTCACTGTCAACTAAAGTAAATTAATATCCTGTACATTACAGAAAAACACAGGGAAGTGTTCAAAATAATTAAACGTGGGAAAAAATTTTAAATGTTTATTCAGTGAAGAACACTTAATGTTATTTAAGATTATTGCTAAGGTAGATAGATTCATATTAAATGGCATCAGTTAGTTTAAAATGCATAGAGTTTATAATAAAAAAACATAGAGCTTATAGTTACATAGTCAAATCTTATCTAATACAACACTTTATTAATGAATCCAAAGTTAAATTTAAAAATTCTTGATATTACACACTGAGTATATATGTTTGTTTAGATGGTAAATCAGTATTGAGATATACTGGACTTAATGATGAATTGTATATACAAATATTCAGTGGATGAAAATATTCATAGGTCTGAAAAAATAGTCGATTCTTTCAGAAAAATTTAATATCATTTATAGTAGCAGAGAAAGCAGTTTACAATCTATTTCCTCGTAAGTGAAAGTTAGTGCGTCTTTGAGGTGCCATCATTATTTATTACCTGTAAACTTAACTTGTGAAAATAAAGGTCATGTTTTCAATGAAAAAAAATCTGCTTAATGTAAAACAGTGCTTGTTAGGTGGTGGTACTGAGGGCTTCCAGAGCAGGGCAGGCCAAGACAAAGCTTTGGATAGGAGGCCAGAGCAGGTATGGAGGGAACATGAGCTCATGAGCTACAAGGCAGGCCAGAGTCAAGACCTACATGAATAATGAAGATCAGGACCTGCAGGGGGTCAAACTACAGGCGCACAGGAAAAGCAAATGCCAGAAGGCAGAGCAAACATATGGCAAAAGTTCAGGCTAGTGGTTCTTAACCTTTGGGGATCATGTATCCCACTGAGAATCCCATGAATGTTCCCAGAAAAAGAAAGTTCACAGACAAATCCATGCAGAATTTTGTTGCATTGAAAAGTACTTTGCTCCACCTAAAACTAATATTAAAAACAGAAAATGTTTTAAAAATGCTCTTACTTTCTAGATGTTCATGAAAAAATTAATGGCCATTTCATGAATCATCTTAAATGAAATCCACATAGTAGAAAATTATATTATGCACACTAGTCCTGAAAGAAGAGGCAGGTTCAACTATTTGGCACGAACTAGAAGTTGACATTGCAGTTGGTCTTGGATGTGGCTACGTGCCCATATGTTTGGTATTCAACAGATGCCCACTTTTTGTTTTGAGGGTAACAATTACTGGAAATTATAGAAAACGTATGCAACTATCATATCCAGTGGCTGCAATTGGAACTCCCCTAGTTTGCTTTCTTAGATGAGGATAGGCTTAATTCGGGGAGCATGACATTTATTCAAACTCTTCAGGCTCCATTGGTGTTTCATAATGCTTACATCCTTAAGTTGCATTATGATATTTGCTGTCAACCTTAGGTTAGTGTGTGTGGAAATAAATCTCTCCACATTTCTAACTACAGAAAGAATAATAAGTATAATTTTATAGCCATAGACATGGCTAGAAATTGGACAGTTTTCAAACTGGTCATCCAAAAACCTTCTGTTTCTATGTAGGCGCTTTGCCGAAGAGCTAGAAGCTTTTAGTAATGTATGTAATTATTACCGTGGGCCTATCTCACTTATATGGCTGAAAACATCTTTTCCACCAAGAAAACCAAACTGTGAATAAATTATCCTTATCTAATATATCTAAGAGTATGTTTTCTTTTTGCTTTTCTCCCAACAAGTGAATCTTCTACCCCTTTTCCTTTGGAAAGTCAGTAAAGGTCTACAGAGTTGGAAAGAACCTCAAGTTCAGCTCCTGTTGTTACAATTTTTTTTACTGAACTTCTAGAAGAGGTGAAGAGGATTCAAGTTCAAATTACGATGAAATTGATGATTTTATAGGAGTGTATAAAATTATTTCAGAATTTTTGGCAGAATCTGTGGGGGCATAATTTAAGATAATTGAAGTTTGTCTCTTACAAATTAATTGCATTTAGAAACAGGATGGGTCCTTCATCTATAGCATCTATAGCAAGAGTATCAAGCATTATCTTCTACTTTGTTTTTCATGGTAAAGAACCTTTTCAACATTTAAAATCTATCAACGGCATTTAAAATGTAGAAAGGATACATATGTATAATAGGGGAAAATGGGAAGCAGGAAGCACCAAGGAATACTCATATTTGTATCCAATGGCATGGAATGGAAATGCCAAAGCTGCCAGATCCACCACAATTGTCTTCGAACTAGTAGAAAAAATTGTGTCTCTAGAGTAGGTTACACATGTGATAGAGAGACACTTCCTTTCCCTTTTTCATCTTCAGTCCAAAACACAAATCAGATTAACCATTTCCAGGGCACACAGCTCCACCATGATCTGTAGAATCATGTGTAGCTTCTTTTGCTTGGTGCAGCAAATGAGAATATGAAGGAAGTTTCAAGGTATCTCTTTTTGTTTTTGTTTAGGCTCATATTTGTAGAGCTCTCAACTTTTAAATTAAGCTTCCTTCTCAGAAATGTGATTCATTCTGGTTTGATGACTTTTGAAGTCAAGGAGTCTGAGGCTCTCTTTTTGATCTACTGGTTTCACCCTCTTTCAGCAAGATTCTTGTTATATAAGGAACACTAACTTTGGGATCTTGTAAACTGAGTAAAACCAAAGGATTTATAGTCTTCAATGTATTGGGTTTGTCTACATTTTCCAATTTAAGTTAGGCCTTATATAAACAAACACATATATGGATTAACATAATGGAAGGATGCATAACCTTAATCCTTATCACATAAACATATTTTGGATGGCATAATTAAGTAAAGGTAACTATACATTAATTATTCCTGGTCAGTAATATTCTAGGCCACCCATCAGAAAAACTGGGAATAAAAGGATACCTAGGTGACATGTAACATTCCACAGCAATATTTTTCAAAATGAAAATTACCAGAGTAATAGGAATAAAATTGAAGACTAAAATAGCTTATTTTATCTGAGCATTGCTATTTATAGATTTCCTAGTGCTAATGCCTATCTTTATAACAGAGTTCAGGGACACATGTATTTGGAATGAAAGATATGGAGGATCTGAAAATGCAAGCATGAACAATTTGTACTAAGTATATACCAGCCATTAGTCAGATAAATTTGTGGGTGGAGGTAAACAGGAATATCTGATTGTAATTGCAAAATGCAAAAGATAAAAGAAGGAAGAATAAAGAAGGCTTTTCATTGGCAGATTATTAAAGGGCAAGTATTTTATTAAAGTTCTGCTAATGCTGAGAGAGGTTAATAATATCTAGATTATATGCTTGTTCCGTAAGTCACAAAGTTTATTGTTAAAATGTTAGCAGCCACAGAAAATATCTTATTGCCAAAGAGGGGAATATTCAAGATTTGACCTAAAATACTGAATCTCAAACAGGTACTCAATAATGATTGTGTGAAGAGCATGTATTAATATCATTAGATTTGAAAATGGAAAATTAGTACCATGTTTCTTTAAACTAGTAGACTGAACAATTAATTGCATATTTTAATTAAAGTGACCAAAAAATTATAAGAGGTAGACACTGTATCACATCTCTTTTGTGATAGATGACCAATTTCCCTAGTATTATCTGACTGGTTTTAAATCTTGAACACTTGGTCGAGTGTTTATTTTCATTAATGGGTTGAAGTCCTTGTTTAAAGTCCTTTTTAATGGAGAACAGAGGTAGTGTTTTTTTAAGGCACATTTTTACAACAGGGGAAAACGATGTTAGAACTAATTTTGAAAACCCAGTTTTGATAACAGGTTTAAATCACTCTTTGTAGAGGAGGATGCTTTCAGAAAGGGTGTTTTTTTATGGGGACATTAAGTGGTAATGTGTTGGGTTTGGAAGGTCTTTGAAAAGTGAGGAATAGAGGCATCTATCCTAATTGCATAGATGGCTATGAATTTCCAGCTCAAGGCTAGAATCAAATTACAAGAGAGTGCTAAACATGAAACACCTGTTTGAAAAGAACTTTCTGCAAAGGGTCTCTAAGGAGCCCACTCTCTGAGCTCCTTTCCATCTCTTTCCTATTACTTTCCCTGTTGCTCCCCAACCTACCAACCCTTTAGTTTTGTTTTGAAATCACAGTAAATCCTCTAATAAAGGGGAATCATGTCATGTGAGGGAGATGACTTCCTATGTGGAGGGGAAAACCTGGAATGACTTAGGGGAAAAAAAAATCTGTCTCTTTGAGAAAGGTGCCTATCTTTACGTCACAGTTTCTGTAATGAGCAATGAGTTCAGGTGGGGTTCAGAGAGCAGACTTAACAACTTGCTCTTTTGGAAAAAAAATTTTTTTTCTTTTGAATCAAATATGAATGTCATGTGCTTGAAACACATTTTCATTTATGATAAACGTGCCATATATTGCATTGCTTCTCAGTGATGTGTTCACCCTCTCTTCCCAGAATGGGCCAAGAAACGAGACTTCCATTCTCCATCCGACTATACAAGTTTAATTACTTTCAAGCATTTGCAATGAGAGTGGTGTTTGCTCTTTCTATTCTATTAGAATGAAAATCTAATTTTTGTATTCTAAAGACTTCTCTAAATATTTTGTCAAATAGAATGACAGGTGAGAATAACGTTAAATGATTAAATATAGATTCAGAACAGCAAGAGAAAAGAGTTCTTATCTAGAAACCTGTAATTATATATTTCCTCTGCTGAGCAGGAGACTGACATTTTAAACGTCTACTGTTTGACAGCTGTGGTCAGACATCTCTACAGGGTTGAGCCTGCTCATTAGTGCCACATTAACCTTCACGTTGCCTCAGGCCATTAACTAGCAAACTGCACATTTGACCTTTGTTCTACAGATATTTTCAAACAGTGTGCTAGGCATTGCTTTTAATTTGGGTTCTGTATTATGTGTGGACTGACTTTAGGGGTAAAAAAAAATCAATATATGTCATTAAGTAGAGAAACAAGCAGTCTGAGACATTTCAGAAAGAAAATCTCCATTTGAAAATAAGATCCTTCTTGGATACTTTTCTAGATAATTAGCTTTGGTCAAAATTAGAAATAGTCTCTTCTGTGTTGTATTCAATGGAAAAAAAGAGGGGTGCAATATATGACAATTTATAAATGTTTAAAATGAAACAAGTTCCTGTGAGATGAGGACATAGGATTGAGAGGTATGCCTTTCGAACATAGTTTTGTTTCTAGCAAGGTCTAATTAAATGAAGTGCAAGGTCAAATGTAGATTAGAGCCATAGGCCTTAAGGCAAACAGCTTCCTAAAAGATGAACAAAGTTTGAAACTATATGTCAGCCTTATAAATTAAAATATAAATTTACTTAATGAAATATTTTCATAGACTATGCTAATGTTGCTATATCCAGTTTATGGAATATTATACAGCTAATTAAAAATAAGACTCTATTTATTAACCTGAAAGGGCTTCATCATATACTGTCATGTGAGAAAGATCCCATTTCATATATGTGTATAGCTTGGTACAGATTTTGTGAAACCAAACCATCTCTATATCCTTCTCTATCTTTCTATGTTGGTCTGTCTGTTTGTCTGTCTTTAGCTGCTTGTTAGTTTGCACATAGCAAAAGCTGAAGAATAAGATAAACACCAATCTGTTATATTGGTTACTTCAGGTGGGAGGGATGGAAAGACTATGGAAGGACAGAAATTAACTGGTTAGTCATGCACCTTTTTATTATTTTACACCTTACTAAAAGATATATTACTTTTATAATTAAACATGATTAAAGTCAATTATAACAGTATAGCCAGTTGGAAGTGTTACTCAATTTAACAGTAGTAACTGGCATTCCTTTGTCAACAGATTCAGAAACAACTACTTCAGGGTGGGTTGCATTCCCCTTTATATATATTTTGTACCACGTGATGTATCAGGAGACCTTTCTGGCACTGTTGGCCTCAAGGGCATGGGAAGCAATGAAGCAATAACTATGCTAGTCCATGTTTCTCCCCTGCCTTCAGTAAGCTCAGGGCAAACAAGGCTGCAGGCTATGAATGAGCAATTGTGCTACAGCCTTTTTCTACTTTACTCTGTTGCACAGTGTACAAAGCTGGGCATTAGCCAGTGATTAGAATTTACCCCACTGCCTGCTTCCTGCTCCAGACATTTTAGACTGGTCAAAACGTGTAGATAACTCCTGTCTGAACATATTGCATTCTCATTGTAGCTTTTTGTCATTGTAGCGATGTATCTGGTTTTTTTTTTTCTAATCTAACAATCTACTAATGAGTGTGTTTTTAGAATGTGATAATTTCCATAAATGTTTGGAAACAGGTGGAAATACTCTTCTATCTAAAGATTTATTCAACTTTGATTAATCAAATATCCACTGGCAGCCAGTTATTGCTAAGCAATGAGATTTTCAGTTAATTAATTAAACAAGATGTTGAAGTCTGTATCAACTAAATGCCTAACTAACTGATAATTTAGTGACTTCTCATGAGTCTTTTTATTTCTCTCATTTCCACTTTTGTTATTTATAAGAGGGTTGGACTAAGTCACTGGTTCTCAAACATGGTTGCACATTAGGATCCTTCAGGAAGCTTGCAGAAAACCCAAATGCTCAGTTCTCATCCCGGACCAATAAATCTGATTGTTTGAGGGAGAACTCCAGGTGTACAGTTTAAAATGTTTCCTTGGTGATGACAATGTATAGATAGGACAGGAGCTGTTTGAACAGATGATCTCTAAGGCTCTTTCTATCTCTGTCTTCATAACGCAGCATATCTGTGATGTATTAATTATGATAGCTATCTTACACAGCAGTGCAACTAAATATTAATGTGTCACTACATATTAATTTTAACATTACATATAAATAGGAGCTGTCTTGAGCCTCTTTAGTAGAGTCTGGCTCAGTTGTTGTCCTACCTTAGAGATTCCTTCTATTTTTTAATGCAACACACCAGAAAGGTCTCTCTGATATTTTGCCAGAATCTAGGAATAGGTCCCCTAATTTAAAGTTTCCCAAGCCACCTGTGCACTTAAAGAACTTTAAATTATCACTATCATTGTGTAACACATATTCCTTGTAGGAGCTTCTAATTCTAGAAGTTGTTAAAAACTAGTCTGGGGCTAATTCAAAAAGAATTTGTTAAGTGCCTGTTGGGTACCAAGCTGTGGTCCAAATCCTGGAGACATGAGGAAGACTTGGCTTTTGTCTTTAGGAAGCACATTCATTAATTGGGAAGGTAGATTGGCATACAGGGGGATTATAATACTAGAGAGCAAGGGCTATAATACAACCATAGGCAGGGGCTAGATGAGAAATGAGGATGAACCAGTTGCTATACCAGTTGATTAGGGAAGGAGTTGGAGAGGATGTGAGGTTTAAGCAGGATCTTGAAGGATGGGTAGAAAGTTGAGAGTAAAGTAGGAGGAGAAGACAATTCTGGGTGGAGGAAACTGGATGTTCTAAGCCTGGAATCTTGTTCAGTAAATATTGAGTTGTTTTATGCAATGCGTGTATAGGTGTGTGGGCTTTGGCTGGTGTGTGTGAATAGAGAGAAGGGGGACTGTCATGGAATGAGGTTTAGGGGAAAGAGTCGAGCGCTCTTACGCCATGGCAAGACATTTTATTGTTTCTTATTTTTTTAATTTTTTATAGATATAGTGGGCAAAAGTGCAGTTGTATTACATGGATATGTTGTGTAGTAGTGAAGTCTGGGCTTTTAGTGTAACCATCATCCAAATAGTGTACATTGTACCCATTTTGCATACCTCACCCCACTTCCACCTCCCACCTTCCTGAGTCTCCAGTGTCTATTATTCCACTCTCTAAGTCCATGAGTACCCATTGTTTAGCTCCCACTTATAAGTGAGAACATGTGATATTTGACTTTGTTTCTGATTAATTTCACTTAACATAATGTCCTCCACTTCCATCAATGTTGCTGTAAAAGACATGATTTGATTCATTTTTATGGCTGAGTAGTATTCCATTGTGTATAATATAGACCACATTTTATCCAGTCTCCTATTGATGGACAATTAGGTTGATTCCATGTCTTTGTTTCTGTGAATAGTGCTGCGATAAACATACGACTACAGGTATCTTTTGATATAATGATTTATTTTCCTTTGGGTAAATACCAAATAGTGGAATTGCTGGGATAGTGGAATTTCCAAATACCAAGTGGGATTTCCTTTGGGAAATACCCAATAGTGGGATTGCTGGATCAAATGGTAGTTCTATTTTTAGTTCTTTCAGAAATCTCCATACCATTTTCCATAGAAGTTGATTTATATTTCTACCAACAGTGTATAAGTGTTCCCTTTTCTCCACATCTTTGCCTGCATCTGTTATTTTTTGACTTTTTAATAAAGACATTTTATATAAATGGGTTAGTATTTTAAAAGTAGGGAAGTGGTATTTTTTGGAGACAGAGTCTCGCTGCTCTATAGCCCAGGCTGGAGTGCAGTGGCACAGTCTCAGCTCACTACAACCTCTGCCTCCTGGGTTCAAGCAATTCTCCTCCTCAGCCTCCCAAGTAGCTGGGATCACAGGCATGCACCACCAAGCCCGGCTAATTTTTGTATTTTTAGTAGAAACGGGGTTTAGCCATGTTGGCCAGGCTGATCTCAAACTCCTGACCTCAATTGATTCCGTCTGCCTCGGTCTCCCAAAGTGCTGGGATTGCAGGCGTGACCCACCATGCCTGGCCTGTATGGCTCATTTCTAATGTTGATTCTGCATTCAACTTGGAAAATGGAGGCACAGGGAACAAATGCTACACTGTTACAAGCCCAGATGACAAATTATCCATTTTTATTGGTCCAGACATAGAGGCTTTGAATAAATATTCAGATGAGCAACATTTTTCTATTTTCTTTTAAATATGGTCAAACTGTTACTCTTAATAATTATATTTCATTTCTGTGTACTAGAGATAGATGAAGCACAAGATGAGCAACTGACATATGAAACACAGTCCCTGAAGGATAATTAGATGGGACTGGACTGTTAACATCTCCCTGCATTTATTATGATCCTAATTTTAACGGCAAATATTCTCATAACAGTAGAGAAATAATTGCATGGATGCAGTCACTCTCCCAGCAACTTAAATTTAGAATCTTTCTAAGAATATAATATTTTGTTCATTGAAATATTTCACGTAAAACTGGAAAAGTAGTCGTGTGCTAGCTTGAGCATTGAGCTGGCAACTGAGATTTGAATTCTGATAATAGGGCCAACATTAATTTGCTCTGTGGTAGTAGGTAAGTCCTTTTTTTTTTTTTTTTTTTTTTTGAGATGGAGTTTCGCTCTTGCTGCCCAGGCTGGAGTGCAATGGCGCCATCTTGGCTCACCACAACCTCTGCCTCCCGGCCTCAGCCTCCCGAGTAGCTGGGATTACAGGCCTGCGCCACCATGCCCGGCTAATTTTGTATTTTTTGTAAAGACGGGGTTTCTCCATGTTGGTCAGGCTGGTCTCAAACTCCTGACCTCAGGTGATTCGCCCACATTGGCCTCCCAAAGTGCTGGGATTACAGGTGTGAGCCATTGCGCCTGGCCGGTAAGTCTTTTTGACCAGTTCACTATGCCTACTAGTGTTTCAATCCCCTCCTTTACCACCATCTCAATTATTTTTGTTTAATATACCTACCGTAGATCCCTGGTTCTACTATTTATCAGTGCAACTGCATTTTGCAACACTTCTCATGATTCCTGCCACCTAAACCCTGCCAAACACAGAATATAGTGTTCCAAAGTAGGATCTCCCCCCAAATTTCTGTCTTTACAAACCAAAACCCATCTTAATAATAACACAGACTTTCTTCCCTTATTTTAGCCTCAGAAAATTCAAAGCTAACCACTGTTTTCAGTAGCCTTTCCTTCTCTCTTTTGCAGAATTTCTGATTAATGAATTATTAGTTTTCTTTTCCTATCATTGTAGCAACCGTGAGAGACTAAGTTATGATGTGATAGCAAACTACCCCAACATACCATTGGTTGAGAACAATAACATTGTGTTTCTGTTTAGAACCTGTGCCATTTCAGATCAGCAGCCATTACTGCTTAACTTGCCTGGGCTTTAGGACTCAGAATGACAGGGCAGCCTTCCTCTGAAACATTGCCAGTCATCGTGCTAGAGGGAAACAGAAGCTGGCAAAACCTCATTAGTTCTTAAAGCTTCAGCCTAGAAGGAGCATACATAAATTCTGCCTACATTTTTTCAAACCCCAAACAAGTCCGATGACCAAAGCCAACTTCCAAGCGCCTGTGTGCCCAGAAGGTAGATAGACTCTCCAGAAACAAGCTCATTACCACAAAACCTTATCTCCTTCTTTTTATACCCAAATATTTTCAACTGTCTTCCACATTGAAACGAGCATACATAAGAACAAATCTTTAATTTTTCTTTTTTGGAATCTCTACTTATGGTTTCCCATGCTCTTTCTAATGCTCACTGTACAGCAAATGTGAAGTTCATTACTTTACTTCAAGTGTTTTAATTCCTATATGGGTTTGCTAGGGCTGTCATAACAAAATACCACAGACTGGGTGGCTTAAACAACACAAATGAATTTCCTCAATAGTTCTGGGGTTGAAAGGTTCAAGATAAAGGTGTTGGCAGGTTTGGTTTCTGCAGAGGCTTCTCTCCTTGGCTTGCAGATGGCTGCCTTCACCCGGTGTTTTCATGCGGCCTTTTCTCTGTGCCTGTGTGTCCCTGGTATCTCTTCGTCTTCTTATAAGGACACCAGTCATATTGGATTAGCATCTACCCATATGAACTCATTTAATTCTAATTATTTTTTTAATTTTTAAAATTTTATGTGTGGGTATGTATGTATGTATGTATGTATATATGTATGTATGTATAGACAGGGTCTCACTATGTTGTCCAGGCTGGTCTCCAACTTCTAGGCTGAAGCAATCCTCCAGCCTCAGCCTCTCAAAGTGCTGGGATTATAGGCGTGAGCCACCACGCCTGGCCCCTGATTATTTCTTTAAAGGCCCTGTCTCCAAACACAGTTAGGATTTCAACATATGAATTTTTTTGTGGTGGTGGCAGGAGGTGATACAATTTAGTACATAATAATTATGGTCACCACATATGAAGGACACTTTCAGTATTTTATTTAACCTCTCAGGATGGCATTTTGTACTGTGAAGAATCTACCTTCAAATTCACTCATTCTTTAGTTTTCATAGTGCTTTAACTTTGAAGTTTTCTTCCTTCGTTCTTTTCACTTTCAGCTCTTTTTGGCTTTTTATTACTGCATATTACTTTCCTGAAAGATTTTCTCCATGTCCATTATTTCAGTCACTACCTGTATGGGTGGTGGGTCTCACGTCACATGTCCAGTCCACTAAGTTCCAAGGTTACATCTTTAACAGCAAACTTCCAGGATGTGCACAGTTCTTGAACCAGTAGCATCAACATCACATGAGTGCTGCTTTGAAATGTGCAGTCTTGAGCCCTGCCCTGGAACTACTGAATCTGAATCTGCATTTTGGTAAAATCCTCAGATGAGATTTACACCTAGTAAATTTGAAAGTAGCATTCTGTTTGATTTCTCTATCTAGACATTCCAAAGAAATCTCAAACTGAACATGTTGAGAATGAAACCATTAATTCCTTAGTCTTCACTCATGTATTAATTTGATGACTATTTATTGGGGCTACTGTGTGTAAAGCCACTGCTCTATGATTTATGGCTGTGAACAAAACAAGCAAACAACAAAATGTCTGCCTGCCTGAATATTTTATTCTGGACCGTAGAGACAGTTAAGAAACAATAAGGCCTGATTAATCCGTATATTACATAAGTGGCTAGAAAGTGATGTGTGCCTTGGAAAGATGAAAATATCAAGCGAGATAAGGATGATCATAAATATAGTGTAGGACACTGAGAAGGTGAGATTTCCCTTCCTTTATTTCTTATCTCAGGGAATGACATGACCATCCCCTCACATGAGCAGGGGGAAAACACAATTAGAAATTGTGTGTGTTATCTTAACACTCTTACTTTAACCTGTCAATTCTGGATTCCTAATGTCTTTCAAATCTTTCACTTGTTTTTCTGTTCACTGACAGGCTCCTTCTCACATCCTCAGGGTTTCTCCTGCTCAGGTTATAGCCACCTAAGTGACCTCACTGCTTTTCTACTCCCAAGTTGCTGCCATGATGATGATAACACCTGCTTGCTGGAAAACTTAATGGTTCCAACTGCCTTTTGAATAAAACAGAAACGTCTTATGATGAGCAATAAGACTGATGATAAAATGGTTTCTTCTTACCATTTTACCATAATTCATTCCCATAAGCACAGTCCCCTCTAGTGAAACTGCATACTACCCGTATTTTCTTTCCTCTTACCCTTACTCATCCAGGCTTTTTGTTTGGTTTGCATGGAACACTGAAATACTGCCTTGTTTTGTAAATATCTTCTGATTCCTCTGTGCGCTAAAATTTGGCACTATTAGCACTGTATTATCATTGTAGGTTTTCCCCAAAATGTGTGTTCTTAGAAGGCAGGTGCTCTCTTGCTTACCTGTGAATCCTTAGTGCCAATAAAAAACTTAGTACTCAGTAGCATTTATTACTTTTTGACCAATAATTTATAGATGATGGTTCATAGAATGACTGGAAATCTTCTAGGTTAAATCCTTTCAGAATAAATATAGGCAAAGGTATGACGGTGTGTTTGGAAAACAGAACCTCACTTTTGTGGGACCCTAAAGTATGGTTTGGGTTGTTGTTCAAATTGAAGTGAGAAGATACCTTGCACATCTTTCCAAGAAACTTAGATAAAATGCTGTAGAGAAGCCTTTGAAGGACTTTAAGTGAGTAACATAATCTCTGGAATATCAAATTTGAATTTTAGAAAGTGACTGTCATTGAGAATGGGAAGAGATTGGAGGGATGTAATCTTAGTGTAGTACGTCCAGAGAAAGATGATAAAGGCTTGGACTAAGGCAATGGCAGTATAGCCGTGGGAAAGAGGACTGGAAAAGAAAGACATAAAGCTTTCTCTATGAGGATCTATTGATTTTGAAGGGAGAAATGAACCTTGTGCTATCCACCAAGACTGAATTAGGGTCCATAAAAATATTTACAATTTTACATCATCAATTTAAAAGTCTCAACATTCCATCAATTTGGGCCTGGTCTTCATTCCTAGAAGACTCTGATTCCGAACAAGTGATCATTTATTGTGAATAAAATTTAGGACAGGAGTCACACATCCTGCCATTCATTAAATCCCACCTTTCTAAAAAAGAATTAGTCTGCTTCCTCAATTATGTTTTAATAGCTGCAACATATAAATTGATATTTGTTCATGCATTACAATTAGTAAAGACATAGCTGTCTTTGAGGCACTTATTTTCTGGCAGAGGAAACGGACTTAAAGTAGTAAATATGTAATATAATTACTGTGCTATCAAGAGAATAAAGCCTTTGTTGTAATCAATCTAAGTTACAGTTAAGTCAGAATTGTGCTTCTTGCAACCACTTTATCACTTATCTGGTCCATCTTTGCTAAAAACTCGTTTAAATACCAAATACTTATACTAAAAACTTCTGATTTTCTCTGAGTTTTGATGTTACATATTTGAAAGTAATATTTATCTTTTTTACAAATCAACTCCAGCAATATTCACAAATAGTTATTTAAAAACCGATAGGTTTGTGTCCAGCCTGGGCAGCATAGCAAGATATCATCTCTAAAACAAACAAACAAAAAATAATAGGAGAGAGAACTAAAAATTAATGAACTTGAGTAACAGAGCTGACAAAATGAGATTTCATTTTTAAAAAATTAGTTACTCCAGGCATAATTTAGAATCACCTGTCTTCTTTGATCTCATTTTTAAACACATTATATTTTTAGTCTTAATGAGGGTGACATTTCATAATTGCTACATTTTAACTGCATATTCCATGAATTTCTAAAGTTTACTTTCCTTCCAACATTTCCTTCTTCTGCCCCTTCCTTCTGGTCTAGAGAGCATCTCCTATGATCAGCCTAGGGCTTTTCATTTCTTTTTCCAAAACAATTGTTTATGTCAAAAAAAATCATAATGAAGGCCTTTAGGACTTGGCCTTGAAATGTTAAAACTCAAGTTCTTGGTCCTCCAAAGCCTTGGTTTTAAAACTGAAAAGTTTTTGGTTTCTAAATTAAAACAAAACAAAAAACCTGCTTGTTGTTGAATTTTTCCTCTGATAATTGATATGGGGAAGGAAAGTATTGTGGGAGGAAAAAATCTTAGTTAATATACTAAATATTATTCCTTCCAATAACTTTTATTTTCATGCTTCTGAAATATCTTACATGTCTGGGTTTTGGGTCATATTTAGTAAAGACATTACTTTATGTTCTTAGATACCAAGAAGACCCAGATAGGAAAATAACCTACTACACTTTTCATCAGTAAGCAATCACTTGGCATGTTGTAAGTCTCTGACATTTTCCACAGGGAAAAGAAAATTATTAGTACTCTCGTGGTGGCTTAGATGATAGCAGGTAGTGAGGACTTTTAGGGAGGCTAAATGAAGTGATGTCGTTCTTTATGCATCAGTATATACTATTCCCAACTTCTTGCATGTGAAGTTACACAAGATTCATACCCAGTGAACCTTTTTATTCCAAGAATAAACTAAAATACTAGCTTTTTTTTTGAAAAAAAAAAAAAAGTAATGTATTTTCATCTTGGTGGTTAGAAAAGTATTTAAAATATATGAGAACAAATAGAGAAAATGTAAAAAATTATATTCTAAACATTATGCATAACAATATAAAAATTATATCCTAAACATTATGTATAACAATACATATCATTTTTGATGGCCTTTATTGTGGATGTTTGGTTTTAATTGTTTTCTTTCTTCTTTCATTTAGAGAATTTATCAACAGCCTTCGACTGTACAGGTCATTCTATGGAGGTCTAGCTGATCAGCTTTGTGCTAATGAATTAGCTGCTGCAGATGGACTTCCCTGCTGGAATGGAGAAGATATAGTAAAAAGGTATTTTATGTGGTCTGTGAAAACCTACTAGTTACATCATCCTTGCTTTCTTTTTCTGAATCTTAAGGGGATTAATTCAGTCTTAACTTTGTCACACAGTTTACAGTCTACATTAAATACTTATCTTTAGTTTGTCAAAAAACAAGGAAAAGAACAACAAAACCTGATCCTTTTAGGTATCTTAAAACTATAATAGCATTCTGTGGTATTTTGAAAGTCTTCTCTTTTACCTATCTATGACTTACCAACAATCCTACTTTTGAATTAAACACCGTTTATTTTTTATCCAGTCTGTCTGTTGTTTACCAAATATTGTATTTCTTTTTAGTTTAAATTCATGAGTATTAGAAAGTGAGGAAATTCAGTGAAATGTGAATACCTATTCAAAGATTCATTGGTATATGGATATGTGTCCTAACAATGTTAATGTGTCCATCCTACAATGGTCTGATAGAAAGAGAGCATGCAAGAAAGAGAGAGAGAGAGATTGAGAAAGAGAGAGAGAGACTATGTAATAGTGGGGGCACTTTTATATATATATATATATCTGTTTGAGGCATTGTTCATTGATATGTTGTCAATTATTCTCAAACTTAGAAGTGAAATTCCATGTTTACTTTTTTTCCTGCCTATCTAGAATTTCTTTGACAGTTTCTTTTCCTTTATTTCCTATAACTGATTGTACTTTCAAGCAATCTCCTGAGCTTGAGAAAGTCATAAATTCTCCCTCTGTGGTCAATTAAACTGGTTGGGGAAAAGTCTCTTGATTTGCCAATACTGGTGGTTATTATAGAATGTAGGATAATGAGGTTTTGTGTTTGGATCTGAATCTGTTAAACTATAAAATAAATATATTTTTTATTTGTACATTTTACATTTTGGATTTGAATCCATTAAAAAGTATACTTTGGATCTGAATGTGTTAAAATATATTTTTGAGCAGTCTCCAAAATGAAAGATAGGGTGTTAAGCTTTCTGACAGATATGGTTTGGCTGTGTCCCCACCCAAGTCTCATCTCGAATTGTGGTTCCCGTAATCCCCAGGTGACCTGGGAGGGACCTGGTAGGAGATCATTTAATCATGGGGATGGTTTCCCCGATCCTGTTCTTGGGATAGTGAGTTAATTCTCCCGAGATCTGATGGTTTTATACGGGGCTTCCCCTTTGCTGTGCACATATACTTCTCTTTGCTGCTGCCATGTGAAGAAGGACGTATTTGCTTCCCCTTATGCCATGATTAAAAGTTTCCTGAGGCCTCTCTAGCCATGCTGAACTATGAGTCAATTAAACTTCTTTCCTTTATAAATCACCCAGTCTTGGGTATTTCTTCATAGCACTATGAAAATGGACTAATACAATGAATTACAAGTAAACCTCCTCTATATGCAGATAGGTGGTTTAGTTACCACAAAAGTGATGAGTTCATTTAAAACATTATTTAGCAAATTAACTTTGCTATGATAAACATATACTATAATCAATTTTAATAGAAATTTATATAACTAAGCCACTTATATATTTCTGAGTGATCATTTTCATTATAGTTAAAAGCTACATTCCTGAAATATTAAATTATTATTTTACTAATATCCTGAATATCTGAATATCTCATAGAGACTTAGACTTCACAGAAAAAAAAATTGAAGACAAAAACTGTATTTAAATTTAAATAAAATAATTGGCTGATATGACTAGTGCTCTTTTTTCATTATGCACCCTGGATGTTGCAATGTAACAATTTTGCAAATATTTCTTTATTGCTTTTACTGAGAGAAGTGATAGCATTCTCATACTTTGAGTTCTTAGTGTATTCATGTCAACATTTCTGCTTCTTAGATCTAGTAATTAAATTCTAGTTTGACATAGTATTTTTTCAAACTGTTCAAACTGGAATTGAACTTTTTGTATATTTTTACAAAGACTAATGAGAAACCCAGAGTGATTAATAAAAATTTATTATATCATATAAATATGTTTAATATACTACATTACATTATGTTGAATTATATTATCTGAATCTACAGCTGCAAGAACCTTAATCTGAATTTATCCCATTCCTCTCTTGACCAGTTGGTCTGGGGTTTGTGTAATGGGAAATACTGTTGGAGAAATCAATGATTTGGGGAAACCTTTTAGAGTGATAGTATTTTCAGCTCAATGAATATATTTTATTCTACATAATATATTTTTAAAGACCTCATTCGTGGTTTATGAATTTGAAAAAGCACAGAGTTAGCAAGGACTCTCCATGAAAACCGTCCACATTTCTGATTAGCGAAGTGTGTGATTCTTAGTATTCCCATTTGCTTCCAGCTAATGCCTTCCCTTTCCTGTACCACCACAGACTCCTGTCTATTAGCTACTTCCAAGTGCATAGAGACTCCAGTCTTTCGTGAACAAGCTTCACTGTGTCTTTAACTATCTTCAAACAATTCTTCCAACCTCATCACCTTAATGGACATTTTCCCTTTCTTGAGCACATCTTTCTCTTCCATTTCTGTCTCATGGGTCCCCAACCTACTCCTGTGCCCTTTGGTTCTCAGTGCCAGCATATGAGCCTCACACACTCCTACCACCTCTAAGGCTACTGCCAAAATGAGCATGTTTCAGCCCTGATTATTCTGTTGCCATGAACTGAGGGTTTCAGAAGCATTATTTAATTCCCCCAATACTTCACTTTTAATGCCCCAAGTAAGTTGATTGGACTCTATCTCTTTTCTATTTGACGACGAGAAAATTCTGTGTCTTTTGACTTAAAAAATTAACTTAAAATTTTAATTTTAGTCATGACTCAGTCAATTCTTTATTTTTTTTCATTTTTAATTTTTATGTGTACATAGCAGGTGTATATGGGGTACATGTGATATTTTGATACAGGCATGCAATGTGTAATAATCACATCAGGGTAAATGAGGTACCCATCAACTCAAGCACTTATCATTTCTTTATGTTATAAGCATTCCAATTATACTTTTAGTTACTTTAAAATGTACAATAAATTATTGTTGACTGTAGTCATCCTGTTGTGCTATCTAATACTAGATTTTACTCATTCTGTCTAACTATATTTTATACCTATTAATTATCCCCATTACCCTCTTCCCACTACTCTACCCAGCCTCTGGTAACCATCCTTCTACTCTCCATCTCCATGAATTCAATTGTTTTAATTTTTAGCTCCCACAAATGATTGAGAATATGTGAAGTTTATCTTTCTGTGCCTGGCTTATTTCACTCAACATAATGGCCTCCAGTTCCATCCCCTTGATGTAAATTTAGAATGAGATTTTTTTTTTCTCAATGCCAACTCAATGGTAAAATGTAAGTATCCATCAATTCTCGTTGATTGATTATGGTATCATGAAATGTTACATAGCAGTCAAATTGATACATATTTATATCTGCTACTGTGGAATGATGTCAAATAATTAAACAAAATTAACTAGAAACAGGATAGGACATATTTTACCAGCAGATTTCAAAAAAATAAAATAGATATTAATATTGGTTCTGCATAGAGTATTTCTGGAAAGTTACAAGAAAATTGTTAATGTGCATAAATTTAGGACAAAGTACTAGGGGGCAGGGAGGTCTTTTATTTTTTAATTTGTATTGTACATACTTATTTTAAATGAAAACAGGTGTTAAAGTGATACAAGAATTATGGGCCATTATTGTTTTTTATGTTTTATAATTCTCAAAAAAAAGTAAAAATTAACGTTGTAAAAAGTGCTATTTATACATTTAATTTCTACTAATTCAGATTTTCCTAGGAATTTTGTGATATAGTTTTGTCAAAGAGTTAATACATATGCTTCAATATTGAACTGCTGAATTTATCTAGGAGAGTTTCTATACAAAGTCAAGTCCTGATCACTGTTACAATCTTAAATTAACCACTTTCTCCTTGAGAAAAAATGAAGTATAGCAGTGATCTGTGGTGAAAAGCTCTAAGCAATCCTCACATGTGAGATTCATTTCAGAGACCTGCAGTTAGTTGAAGTAAGTAATGCCATTCAGTTTTGAGGAAATGGACAAGTGAATGTATACTACATTTGGGGATGATAGAGTGTTTTCCTGTTTTATGGGAGGTTATAATACCCATCAGCTTCATTCTAGAGGAGTTAAGCCAAACACATCAATAGGTCAAATTGGTGGCCAAGATTAAGTCTATTCTTCATTATAAGAGTGAAGCAATTATTTTGGCAAGATTTCTTCTCCTGCAGGCATTTTTAAAGAGGTGATTGATATGATTATTTGTGTGCACAGACATTCTTCAAAGACTAGGAGAGCCATACAGACTATTTTAATATCATGACAGTCCTGTAAAACTGTGTGAAATCACCTATGTGCTGATCAAAAGAGGTGGAATTCCTTTGTGATTGTAGATGAAAATGTCTCAAATATCTGTAGTGTAAAAAGAGTTTGATTTTTGAAACAAAATCTATTTAACTCAAATGATTTCGAAGACTGTATTCATATCATATACTCTACTGCAACACTGAGGTCAACAGTTCAAACAATTTCTGATTTAAGAAGAAAATATTATTGAAATCCATGTAGTCTGTATCTCTTACAGTCTCTTTTATCTCCCCTTCCTGTCTCTTCATTACAAAACAACATTGTTCTCTGAAAGGCATGTTAGTCTTTGTTCTCAGTTCTCTGTGATTGCAAATTGATTGTTTGATGATTCGTTCTTTTCTTTCTGGGCATTGAAGTTCAGGTGACAGCTCCTTAATTACCAGGGCTTCCTTTTCCCTTTTGATTAACAGATAATCCTGTAACTGTCCCTCAGTCTCCAGGAATTAACTTCCACAGTGGCTCTTAAACCAGCCAGTATCTGTTAAGTACCTTTTTGAAGAAAACTCTCAAACCATGTTTTTCCTCTGCTTTTATACCACCGCAACAATCATCAACACGGAACTTCTGTGACCAAAATTGTGGGGTTTTTTTTCACCACACACCAGGCATCCAAAACCAGATGAGTGTCCTCCAATTCAATTCCAACACTATCTACCTGGAGATCCCACAGGCTGGGAGCTCAGTCCCCAAGACTGCCCTGCCTTTCTGAGACCAGTTCCAAGTCCCATCCTCCAGAACTTCTGACCAACTGGCTTCAAGTTGGGGTTTCTACAACCCCCTCTTTGGGTTCAATGAATCTGATGGAGCAGCTCATGGAATTCAGAGAAACACTTATGTTTACCAGTTTTTTATCAAGGATATTACAAAGGCTACAGATGAAGAGATGCCTAGGGCAAGGTATGGGGCAAGGGGTGATGAGCTTCCGTGTCCTCTCTGGGCAGCTGCCCTCTAGGAACTTCTTTGTGTTCAGCTATCCAGAAGCTCTTTCAACCTTGTCCTCTTGAATATTTATGGAGACTTCATTATGGAGACAACATTAATTTTGCCATTGGCCATTGGTGATCAACTTGACCTTCAGCCCCTCTCCCCTCCCTGGAGGTTGGTGGGAGGGGCTGAAAGTCCCAACCCTCTAATCATGCTTCTGTCTTTCTGAAGTGTCAGTCAACTTTAGCATACAAAAAGCACTTTGGAGATTCCAAGGATTTTAGCAAATGCCAAGAAACAGGGAAGAAGACCAAATATATATTTTGCAATATCATAGCACCCTGGTAAAATTAATATGCCACATTATTTCTACTTCATCTTGATTAAGTTAATGTTCTTGAATGCTTCTTTCATAATCCAGTTTTCTCTTTTCTAGCTTTTATGATAAGCTGACCCTTTTCCTCAACTGGTTGTGTGTGAGTTTTTAAAATCAGATAAAATAGAAAACTTTATAAATCTCTGAGAGTTTGTACTCTACCAATTCTCACTTTTCTTTCCACCCAGGCAATGACAGTTTTCCTGACCATAATTTTGTTAACCTCATTTTTTTTTTTTCTTTTACCCATTATCTAGCTGGAAAGCCACTTCAATTTCAATCTTTCTTTTTTCTTCCTGACCTTACAGCATTCAATTACATTTTTCCTATTTAACATCTGTCCTAGTTTCCAAAAGTTTTGAACTTCATTTTAAAAACGATCAGGTCTCAGGATTGTCTGAATTTCTGAATTTTATTAATGTAACAACTGGTTGCTTTTCCTATGTTTCTTGTGCAAAGGCAGTATGTTCTTTATGACTTAAACACCAGTTTGTTTTCTATTTCTTTTTTTTTTTTTTCCTGGCAAATTCTACCTATCCAATCAGTTTCTCATATCCTTTGTCTATACCTTCCTAATAATTATCATTATCATACCTATAGCCTATCATATTTGGTTCAGAATTGGAGGTTGCTTTAAAAAAGTGTGATTTGAAGACTTCTTCCTCACTTCAGCAATTTACCATGGAGCTTGAAATGCCCACAATTAACTGAATAATTTTCAATTAAATCATTTTCTCCATGCAACTGTATATGCAGCTTTGCCAAACTCTCACTTTTGTCTTGAATCTTAGGGGTATGAATCCCCTCATTTGTGTTTCATTTTAACCCCTAAATGCACTGTGACACCTATAATACATTTTTTTTGCATTTATATGTCACACATCTTCTTTATTCTTCTCTATTGCAGTTTCTTTTGGAATAGATCTCCTGGATTATCTAAGAGTCTAAGAATGATTAATATCATTGAACATCAATGAGTAATTCTTTGAAGATAACAAGACTCTGAGGGAATGACATTTTTATAAGCATTAGTGAGAACTAAGAGATTTAGGACTTTGGACTTGGTGATAACGCTCTGATGGGTAATACGTGGGTCCAAAGTGAAGTTGATGCCTGAAAGGAAGATTAGATGAAGGGAGATGAATCATACAAGTTACAATCTATGCTGACTCTGGATGCTGATTTTTTCTCCCCCCCGGACAACTTTAAGACCATGTACATCTCATGGTACGCACTTTCATGGACATTTTTGTTAAATGGGAATCTAAAGAACCCCATGAATCTGAAATGTTTTGGGTTAGAGACATGTTGGGTGGGATTGTTCCTATCAAAAAGATGAGGCACTGGAATGAGGAGTAGATCCACGTGCAAAGACCTGCCCAAAGTCAAAAGTCTGAGTTTGCAGTCTTCATTAAGGGAAGAACTGAAACATTTGTGCTCATTTGTGACAAAAATAAAAATTGCAGTTTCAGATATAAGGGACTACAGAATTCATCACATTGCAGATTACACATTCTAGGTTCAATTAGACAAATCCAGGTATGGCTGATGGTTTGAAATCAACAGAAAATAAATTTGCAGGATTCTTGGCTGTATAATATCCCTATGCCACAGTTGTACTCTCCCTGCCTTCCTCTATTACACTTTCTTGGTAGGTAATTTTTATTTCATTGATAGTCCCTAAGTAGTTATCTCATGGTTTGGGTCTATAACAAATATAGTCACCCCTTGGTATCCATGGGGAATTGTGTCCAGGACCTCTCTCAGGTACCAGAACTCAAGGATGCTCAAGTCCCAGCTATAAAATGGGGTAGTATTTGCGTATAACCGATGCACATCCTCCTGTTTACTTTAAATCATCTCTAGACTAAATATAGTACCTAATACAATGTAAATGCTGTGTAAATAGTTGTTATACTGTTTTTTAAAACTTGGTGTTGTTTTTTATTTTTATATATTTTTTTCTTCAAATATTTTTGATTCGTGGTTGGTCGAATCCTTGAACACAGTTGAATCCTTGATCTGGAACTGGTGGATCCAGAGGGCCAACTGTAATACAGGAGATGTTTGCAAGGACATGCACATTTTATCAGCTTGGCTCCAAGTCCTGACATTCCTAACTACGGTTAAAGCTTAGGGAAATATTAATCATTCTCAGGTCAATATACACATTTTGGTCTTTTCTAAAAATGCTCTATGAATGCGGCAATAATTGCGTGGTATATCATCTTCTGAGCTGAGACAGGTCTTCCGTATCTCTCTTTAATGACGTATTGGCTTGGTAATCAGTTGTCTCTTGTTAAGCGTGTGTAATCATTACATTCAGAAAGCCAGACTCAGAAAGGTCTGAGTAGAAACATTAAATCCTCTAGGAATGCCATTTTTACTTTGTCACCAGAATAAAATCATGGCCAGCTGTCAGAATTTTTTTGCTCACTATTAGTGCCTGAAGGCTCTTTCATTATGGGTTAGTTCCATAAACCGTGTAAATTCAGTAATGAAAATGTCCAGTCCAACCTAATAATCAAACGTGTGAAATTCTCTTACTCTTCGTTTTTCCCCTCGTCCAGTTAGGTTCTGCTTCAGTCTAAGAGTCCCTAGTAGGGTGTGTATGTGAACCTTTTCAGGTTCGTGTGCCAACCTTGCACTCTCCTCGTCCTTCAAACAATGTTTCTGACTCCCCTGTGCTTGTAGTTGGCAGGTTTCGAGCTGGGGAGATGATGGATCAAAAGTGAGAAAGAAGAAGTGAGAGAAGAAATCATTCTTTGTGACTGGTAATTTTATGATCTCTCATTGATGTTTTCTAGCCTGGCAGGTATTAACAGCTGATGCCCTAGTGCTTTTGTGTGCTTAAGACAATGTCTCTCCCCTCTATTTCTCCATGTGATGGTAATGTTTTGGCCTCTTTCTGCTGAGATCTTTTGGTGGGTTCCTTTTCTCCCATATCATCTATTCTAGCCCATAGAAACCTTCCCTCTCTTTTCTACTTTTGGTGGAAGTACAGCCTACACCTAATGCAGCTGCCTCTCTTTACTCTGCCACTAGACAGCCAACTTCTGCTACAAGAATGGGCTGCCTTCCATTTGCGTAGGCATAGGCCAACTACCAGCCCTTTTAGTCCTTCCAGCTCCAAGGATCCTTCAACACTTCTCTCACCTAGGACCAATGAATGAGGGAATGCCGTAGCAGTTCAATCAGCTTTCTTCAAACAAGTTCCCTGCTTTGTTCTCTTCAACTTCAATCCTTTTATTCAATTAAGGTGGATGTCAAACTGTGGGACTGAAAACAAGGTTTCAGTCATCTGCTTTTCATGTCTAGCACCTCACTGAAAGTGAGGGGTGTATGCCATCTATTGTCCCTTGTTCTTGGCTGAAATGGAAACAGAAAGAGTACTATTTTAGCACCCTTTTCCATGTACTTGGAAGTGGTGCAGAGAAGACAGAAAACTAGTTTCCAAATTCAAGATACTGCAATAGACCTTGAATGGAACGCAAAGTTATATGAGATATTTTCCCAATCTTTCAGGGACTTGGAATCTCAAACTGGTAGAAAACATGTTCACAAAACACATTCACAGCAAAACAGGTTTTGAAATAAAAGAAGTGTACAATCCCACAGACTTTCAAATAGGGGAAAATTCTTTTTTGATTGAGAGGATTCAACAGTATTTAATGAAAGAGGTAATATGTGATATGAGTTTTCATTCAATTAAAATAAATTCTTTAAAATATGGATGAGATGAGATAATGACTGAGAATGCTTTAAAATAATTCAGTGAGTGGGAGAAAGAGGGTCATATTATATTTGAAGTGAAGTTTTCTGAGTGAGTAATCATTGAAGCTGTTTGATGGGAACGGAGTGTTATACTATATTTTCTGTATATTTGTATTCACTTAAAATTCTGTAATACATAAATACAAAAATATAGTAACACAATAAAAATAACTTTGTCACTGTCTACTCTTTCACAAACACTGTTCTAGATGCTAGGGACACAGTGATGGACAAAATAGACATAAGTCCATCTCTCATGTAGACTAGGATATAGAAGAGAAGAACACAGAACAAATATTTACAAGTGGGAATAGTTTACAAAATCTTTCAAGTTGGATGGAATTTTAATCAGCAGACTTGGAAGCAAGAAAGCGAGTGGGAGCAAATGCATTCTTGAGTGAAATGCTCTGAGTTGAGTGGCCTCTACACTGCATTACTTTCATTTGTGTACAAACTTTCAGATTATGTTTTCTCCTTCTCACTATTCTCTTTCATTTCAGCTTCATGGGCATGTCGTGACTATTTAGTATTAGAAGCCTTCTCTCATTCATTATAATGCAACCATTCATTCATAAAGCCAATAAGGCTCAGTGGTTAGGAACAGGTTCAGGAGCCATGCTACTAAGGTTGTCAATAAAGATTAACCACTTACCAGTGATGTGAATTAAGACATATTCATTAATCTCTAAGTGCATCACTTTTCTTAACTTTAAAATGTGGGTAAGGCCGGGCGCGGTGGCTCATGCCTGTAATCCCAGCGCTTCGGGAGGCTGAGGTGGGCAGAACACGAGGTCAGGAGTTCGAGACCAGCCTGACCAACATGGTGAAACCCTGTCTCTACTAAAAATACAAAATTAACTGTGTGTGGTGGCACATGCCTGTAATCTCAGCTACTTATGTGGCTGAGGCAGGAAAATTGCTTGAACCCGGGAGGTGGAGGTTGCAGTGAGCCGAGACTGCACCACTGCACTCCAGCCTGGGTGACAGAGAGAGACTTTATCTCAAAAAAGAAAAAAGTAGGTGAAAGTAATACCTACCTAATATTTGAAAATTAAATGAGTTATTCACATGAACAGTTTAGAATCCTAGATATAACATAGTCAATAACTGTTAAATCATGTTATTGTTAAATAAAATATGCTCATTTACTTCAATGGAAATGAAACTATTGTATTGACATTTTCTCTTCATTGGATGGGTTCTGTCTTGGATTAGAAGACTTCCATTTGTAAGACAAAGGCATATGCATTCTTGAGTGAAATGCTCTGAGTTTAGTGGCCTCTAGTGAAGTTTCTTTTATGAGTTAATAAAAATTAGTATTAGGGATTTGGGTTTGGGAATAGGAGATATTCCCATATCAATACTTTAAATGGTTATTTTGTTGGATCTGAAAACTGAGAAATTATGTCTTAATGGGCAGTTCATCAGATACTCCAAACTGGAGAGTGATAGTCACTTGAACCCATGCACTATATCAGTGTTTTCAAGGGAGAACTGAAAGTTAAGATACAAAGATAAAGCACTATAGAGATAAAAGTAAAATGCTTATTTCTAACCAGTGGTTTGGGAATGTTCACTCACTGGTTAGTCTTAGAGCTGATCTTAATGAACTATCAGTTGATTGGAAATAAATTTCTGAAGCCAGGCTAAATTTCAGTGTATCACACAACAGATTGTTTTGGGTGACACGGCAATTTCAACGCTGCTACAATTCTAGTCATCTCCCTTTATCCACTGAGTTCCCAAAGGAAATAGGTATTTTAAACAGAATCCCTAGGAAAAAATGAGGTTAAACATCCGCTTTTCCCATGTGTCTACTCAGTTTCTTGCCATGCTGACACAGTATGAGGATACTATTTTTAACTTGTTACACGCGTCCAGAGGTTGAATAGAGGAAGATAAAAAGATAAAAGATAGCAAGATAAAAGTTCACTGAAGTGGAAACCTAAAGGACCTTTTCCCATCTGTTTGGCACAGAAGTTGTTATCTCTTTGGGAGTACAGATTTCATCACAGTTCTATAGACTTGTGACTTCCAGATTGTGTAATTGCAAAACAGCAGCAGTCTTCAAGGCTCCAGGATGCCTGTTCTTACTTTAGCCAGAGCAGTTTCTTATTCATCCTTCGTTTTCATATTGAGGTTACACCTGAAAAGCTATTCCCTTTTCAGTTAAATGGATGTAAGTTTGCTAAACTACAAAAATGGAAAATATTGTTTATTAGTCTAGTTCCAGTGTTTCCATATCATAGCATATAAATTCACTGTTGAATGATTTATTATATATTAAAGTAAAATGCTAGAAGGGAGATTGGAAAAGAACAGGCACCTATTCATAATATATTTTTCTTCAAATAGACTACAGTGTAGTCTAATTGAATTTATAAGAATAGCTCATCAGATAGCACATTTTATTGTCCAACCATCCAAATCCTTCTTTTCTGATGTATTTTTCAACCCAAACAAAGGAAATTTGTTGGATATTATTGAAAAAACTTCTACAAAATTTGATTTGAAATTATTTTTACATTAATGCCACATTTTGGCTTACATGATTAATATTTTTTGTGTGGCTGCAATTATGTATAAAACTGATTAAAGATCAAACTCTGAAAGTAGATTGTCTAAACACACACACAAAAATAATTCGCATGCATTACTTCTTCAGGAAAATAAAGAAATAAAAATATTTTCTTATTTCAGAGTAGTCATGAAGAAATGAAATATTCAGAAAAATGAAAAGTATAATTATATGTGTGAAATATTGTTCATTTTTGGATTATTCTAGACAGAATCTAGACCTTTTTAGTTATATTAGATCATTAAACCAACAACAGTTTAGAATAAATACGGTTAAATTATTTGGTACCAAATAAAAATATCATGTTTATAACAAGCAATGTATATTTAAATATAACAAGTATTGCTATTTACTAAAACATGTGTGGTACATTGGTTTGGAATTGAGTCATTGCCATTTAATATGAAATCATGCGTCTCAAATTAGAATACAGTTCTACAGAGGTAAGTACTCATGCTCTGTAGGGTAGAGAGAGCCACAGCATAAACATCACACCTGCAGTCAGAGGGCTTACTATGTGACTGCATATAGTAGTGTATTAGTCATTGCTGTCCAGAAAACAAAAACAAAACCAGTCTTTCTCTCTCTCTTTCTCTCTCTGAAAGCAACTTATTTTAAGGAATTGGCTTATGTGATCGTGGGGACTGGTAAGTCCAAAATCTACAGGGAATGCTACTAGGCTGGAAATTCTGCAAGGAACCTGCCAGAAGTTGCAGTCTTGAGTCCAAAGGTGGTCTGAAGGTAGAATTCCATCCTCTTCTGGGGACCTTAGTATCTCCTAAGGCTTTCAATTGATTGAATGAGGACCACCAACATTATGGAGGCTAAGATGCTTTACTCCAAGTCTACTGGTTTAAGTATTAATAACATCTAAAAAATACATTCACAGCAACGTGTAGACTGCTACTTGACCAAACCCACTGGGTACTACAGCTTAGCCAAGTTGCCATATAAAACTAATTATCACAGGTAGTATTTTAGGTGAGGAATGAGATGGCAAGCCTGTGCTCTCATGAAGCTAATGCCATAGAAGTTGGGTTAAGGGCATGTTAGATTGAGTATCCAGGAAAACCTTCTCTGGGGAAATCACATTTAGGCTGAATATGTGGAAAGATCTGAATTTTCCAAGTAGAGAGAATATCATGCTTCATGTGTCTAAGGAACAGAAGGGAAATCAGCGTGTGTGGCTCAGGGTGATGCAGATGATGCTGGAGGATTGTCTGGAATGAGACTGTAGCTTGGGCAAGTGTCAGGTCAAATAAGCCCGGGAAGAAGCTTGGATTTTATTCTATGTGCTTTGAGAAGTCATTGGTGGTTTCCACCTGGGATGGGGGTGGGGAGAATCTGTTTTCCTCTGTATTCACACTCAACACAGAACAATTCTGTGACCAGAAGTGTGGGAGTTTCTCCCACACCAAGCAACTGTCCAGTTCTCTTTGAACACCAACTGTATGTCGTATAATTCAACTGAATTACCACACTAACCTGAGTTACCACAGACCTCACATGTTAAGGGCTTAGTCCCACAAGATGCCCCCCACTTTAGATGCCACTCACAAGTAGTAGGTCCCCAGATTATGCACAACTTCCATATGACTTGGCTACACATTGGAGATTCTCATGAGTCCCTTCTTGGGTTTTATCATTTGCTAGAATGGCTCACAGGACTCAGAGAAACACTTTACCTGTGTTTACTCTTTTATTATAAAGGATGCAATTCATGAACAGCCAAAGGGAATAAATACACTGGGCAAGCAATGGAAGAAGGAATGTGGAGCTTGCAGGTCCTCTCTGGGCATGCCATCCTCCCAGCATTTTCATATGTTCAGCAACCTGGAAGCTCTCAGAACACCCTACTTTTGGGATTTATATTCAGGCTTCATCATGTAGACATGATCAATCAATCATTGAGTATTAATCCATCATCAACTGATTAACTCCATTCCCAGCCCCTCTCCTCTCTGGAGAATGGAAAGTCAACCTGAAAATTCCAAGCTTCTAATCATGGTTTGGTTTTTCTGGTGACCAGCCCCCATCCAAGAGGCCATCAGAAATTATCTCATTAGAAAAAAAGATGCTCCTATCACCCAGGAAACTCCAGAGGATTTAGGAGGAATGTGTTAGATGCTTGCTCCTATCACTCAGGAAATTACAAAGGTCTTAGACACTATGTGTCAGGAAATGGGGTCAAGGACCAAATATTAGACCTGAAAATTATCCCAGTCGCCGCTTTAGGAGCTCTGGTTCAAAGACTGGGGAGACTGTGTGTTTGTGTGTGTGTGTGTGTGTGTGTGTGTGTGTGTGTATGCATATGCATATTTCTTATTTCACACAAGCAAAGATTTATATAATTTGAATGCTTTATGAAGGGTAAATGTGAATATAAAGTTTGAGGGAAAACAAACATCTTATTTCAAATTGGCCAATTTTTGTGTGGTATACATGAGAGGGAGAATAAAAAAGAGAACAAAACCAGAAACATACCTGTAAAAAATAAAAACTTATTATTCATAGTGAATGAAAGTCTGTCATGTTTGTGTTATCTGGAAAATATAAATCTTCTTTGCAGAGAAATGCATACCATAAAGAAACTACAAACACATAACCACACTGAGAATAAAGCGTATACAACTTTTCTCACAAAAGGTCACCCTGCCACTAAATGAATGAATACTTCCTCAAATGAATTAGGAAAATGCCAAAAATCTGATAGAAAATTAGGCAAAGTGCATGAATAGATAATTTACAGAACATAACAGTGACTTTTAAACAAAGAAACAAAATTCTCACCCTCAATGTTAAAAATCAAATAAATACAAATCAAATAACTATTTTTTCACTTATATTTGCAAAGATCATTAAATTTGATAATTCATAGCATTGACCAGCAGGTAGAGAAAAAGGTATTTCAACATCCCAATAGAGGGGAAGCTATTCTTGCGTCTTTGAAGGGTAACTGGGCAACATGTATCAATATTGCAAATACACATGACCTTTGAATCATCTATTTCATCCATGTAAACAAAAGAGCATGAATTGCACATATTTTATGCTAGCACAAGGTAGAACAACCAAAATCTCCATTAATAAGGAAATAATTAAATGGTTATGGCAGACTAAAATGAAGAATATAATTTTGATTTTTATAAAGAAGGAGATAGCCTTACAGCTAGTGATATGAAAATGCTACAGAAGAAGAGGGTTAAAGGACATGTGTAGGAGGAAAAGTTGATTGATTATATTTCTATGTGCTTCCGTAATTTTTTTACCAAGTCCTTTTAGTTGTTTTCCGAAAAAGGAAAAAATTAAAAATATAATGATTCATAAAAATGTTATAATAGAATCATCATATATTTTTACAAAATACAGAAAGATATGATATCTTACTTCAGAACAATAGAAATGCCAGTGCATTTCAAATAAAATACAAGCACACATTGTCAAATAAAATAAGAGCAAATAAAAATCTGTTCAATAGTTCTTCAATGTCAGTTTTATAATTATTTGAGAAATGAATTGCATAAAGCAGAAAGAATATGGGTAGTTACTGCACTGTCCTACCAGTGGATTGGAGATTAAAGAGTGGAAGTGGACTGACTAGGACTAACCGAACACTGCTTGCCAACCTTTGTGAGTGGAACCGAGCCCAATCTGATTCTCATAGCACACCCTGGATCAGGAGGCAGACAAGGACAAGAAGAGAACTTCATCTTTGGTGGTGACAATTTTTCTTCCCTATTTATTTTATTGTAGTTCCTGTAGTTCCGTATCAGAACACAGAAGTTTATCAGTGAATGATTTACTGTATTTTAATGTAAAACATGTCATAATCTTAGAAATTCATTGATACTACAGTATGTAGAGAGCCTAAGAGTGGTACAATAAAAAAAATTAAGTTAATCCCACATACTGAAACGGCATGTGATGACATTTGGAAATTGGCTAGAAATCGTTACTTTGTATCTGAAATTCTTTATATAAATCCATACATTCAGGAATGTTATTGTCAGTACATAATCATACATTTGGGCTCATTTTGAGAAGTTTACATATTGGTTTGCCATATGTGGTTTTGATATAAGAACTCTACTCTTCCCTTATAATTTTTTTATTTCATCTAATTAATTTGTCAAGAATATAGGTATTTCCTTCAATGTCACCTAATTTATTAGAGAAGAAGGAAGATATTTAAAAGAAATACCAATTACATTATATAAGATTAAGGAGAAATGCAATGCGACACTCCCGAAGGAGACAAGGAAAAAACTTTTAAGAACTTATGCTTACTGATTTCCCAAGCCTCAAGTGCAGTGGTCTCCAAAGTGTGGTCCCCAAATTCTCAGGTCCCCAACTCAGACCTCTAGTGAATAAGAAACCCTGAGAGTAGGGTCCCAGATTCTATGTTTTAAGGAGCTCTCCAGATGATTCTGATGAGCACATAAGTTTGGGGACCACTGCCTTTGGCCATCACAATTACTTTTTTGGGTAATTTTTTTTCTAAGATTTTAGACTATTAAAAAAATATGGAAGAACACATTTGTATTGCAAGGAAGTTTGGATTTCATGATATGACTAATCTTACTGTAGAAATGATGTGAGATTCTTGTTTGACTATTTTAGAGCAGATTCGGTATCTAATGGGATTCCATCTTGATGTACAGAGCACCTTCTACATAATGAATTTTGCATTTCAGATGGATGAAGCCTTTAACACAGACAGAATTTTAAGTATTGCATATTTCTGGAAGAAAAGCATTGATCACATCCTCCTTAGATATTTAGTAACACCGATAGAAATTAATTATTTAAGCCACATTCAGATCTGTAACATTGCTCAGGAGGTACAGCGTTTTAAAAATCACTGCTCTTTCATACAAATATACATAATACAATATAGAGAGTTTTGCATAATAATGGCTATTTTTGGATTTTTAAATACTGATGATAATAGACTGCTGAGTAACTAAAGTAGACATAAGGCAAGTATCAGTCATATCTGTTCTTAGTCTAGCATCTCCAGAAAAAAAATCTAGAAGGAAAATTCATGGTTTATTAATGATAATATTATTTCATTTGAAAGCCATAAATTAGAAATAAATATCATCTCTAATGAAGGTTGAATTTTTATATACAATTTTGAGTGCAGATATTTTGGTTAAAGATTTCTCCATGTTTTGAATGTGATAGTTTCAATATGATCTGGTTCTACAATTTAAAAATATTATTTGACCAAAAGTTCTTGCCTAGTCCAGACCGATAGATCAAGCTATTTGTAGAACGTAAAAGCTTGAGGACTAAGCAGCTAATTAGGAATTTATTCATGCAGACATGCAAGTCAGCTTCTCTTTGGGACTCCATCCAAGTCAACACAGAAAGCCTCAAGATGCATACACAAACCTGATCCGTTAGTCTATATATTGACATAATTTATCATTCTTTCTCATATGTGTCTTTTGGGAGCTATTCACCAACAAATTTTATTATTATTTTTATTATTTACTTATCTTAAAAAGTTCTTAATGCTATTCCTGGGAAAACACATTGTTGTTCTGGGATTCCTAATTAGCAATTTCCTGTTCATTTTACTTGCAAATGCATTGCTTTTCTCTCTAAAAGTTTTGTAACAGCCAGGATTACAAACTGTTCAGCTTCCTGAAGATTTCACCAAGTAAACAAATGTTTAAATTTTAATTCAAAATAAACTGAAGAGCAATTTA
The DNA here is from genome assembly GCF_000001405.40 of Homo sapiens. NCBI lineage: Eukaryota > Metazoa > Chordata > Mammalia > Primates > Hominidae > Homo > Homo sapiens. Next base: position 91,774,152 of record NC_000013.11, read on the forward strand.
CAGGAGGTACAGTGTAGAGAGAAATCACACCTGTTCAGAGGATTCTTACTAAAAAAATGTGAATATCAAGACTCTGTCTCTTGCCCGTCATGAAGCAGATGATTTTTAACTGCATACAAATGAGCACAAATAACTTGACATCTTGAAGAGTGTAAGCTGCTTCAAAAGAAATTCCCTACTGAAGAATTTCTATGTGATTTTAGCTTTCTCTGTTCATCATTAACAGATCTTTATTGGGTGCCTACTGTGTGTGAGGCTCTGGGCTACCACATTAAAAATACATAGCAGTAATTTCTGCTGCCTTGGAGATTATAGCACCTGTGATAGCCTGTGAAGGATGGGCTGGTGCAGGGCAGGATGCTACAGGAGTATATTGGAGAAGCAGCCGGAAATCAGTCCGTAAGGAATTATAGTGGATATTCCCATCTCCACTCTCCCCTTGACCTACAGCGCACCCATCCCCCTACTGCTGGACATGATGGTGACAGTGCCTTCTTAACAGAATTGCCACCTGACCCAAAGTCCATGCTCTGCTCCTCACACCCCCTCCCTACACCCTAGTCATCAATCAATGACTGAGGTTCAGAAGATGGGCCTACTAGCCTGAAGATGAAATCAACTCTGTGCTGCAATTTGTGTTTCATTGCTTCCTGGTGGGATCAGAGGAGACTTGACTCCAGCCCAGACCGCCTTTTTGCGTAACTTTTATCTCCTGCTTTATCTTGCCTCCCTCACTCCTCTTTACTGAGAGCACTACCCCCAATAAATCTCTTGACCAAGCATCTACTTCTAGGGAACCTAATTTAACAATGTGATTTTCAGAGACTTGCAGGGTAAGTAGGAGCTAGCTAGGTGAAATGGGTAAGAGAAGAGAGAGTATCCCATACAGAGAAAACACCAGCGCATAGGAGAGAAAGGAGTTCTAGTTAAAGAACAGAATGATATGAGGATGGGACAGAGTTTAAAGATTGTCAGGAGATGGGAGCAAAGGAGTCATCATGAGAGATGAGCGGAAGAGGTTTAAAAACATCATAAGCGAAGTTATATCTACATTTGTTTAATGACAAAAAGTTATGAAAAATCCAGACTCTTACCTGTGTTTTAGTCTATATAATATTTGTGATATTTGTGATAATTGCAGTTGTATTACTCCTCTATTTCTTGGACTGGTGTCTCCATTTTACCACCATTTCTACTGCACTTGGGCCTCATTTTTCCCCCCTCTGGGTTTTTATAACAGATTCCTAACCTATCGATCTGCTACCTCCCTTGCAAACTAATTCCCCACGTAGATGATTGTTATTTTAAAAATCAACAATGCAATTTTTTTGTGTACAAATCCCTTCACTGTGCATTTTATCTGCACCTCTATATTTCTCTTTTTTCCACTTTCCAACACATGGAAACACATCCAGGCATACAAAATGCCCTTTCATATCTCTATGGTTTGGGGCAGGCATTTCAGTTGGAGTTTTCTCTTCCCAGTCTTTCAAAATCAAAAGTAAATGTTACTTCTTTATAAGACTTGATCAACTGATCATTTCTTTCTCTGGCATCCCTTACACTTGATGTATGTCCCGTGATAGCATTTATCTAAGACATACTTTAATCAGTTGTTTAGATGTCTGTTTCTTTTACTAGATTACTCCATGAGTGAGTGTCCCAGGTTTCATCTAAGTGAGAATCAGCTATATCTGGCTAAGTGAAACTGAGAGCTTAGGTGGCTAGAACTCTACTTATGGGAAGAATCATCCATATGTTAGAAAGAGCAGGCACCATGAGCATCATGGGTACAAAAGGAGTCCAATTTCAAGTGCATCGTTGTGTCTGCCACTAAAATTTCTTTCCCATCTTTGTCCCCATTGCATCTGGTCAGTAGAAATATGGGAATGAGGGGTACTTCCACATGTTGCCTCAGACCACCAGAAAGTTTTTGGATGTCTGGGCATTCATATATCCATGACAGCACCTGGAAGATCATCAATGTTGGACCCGAGACAGCTGAGATGATGGTCCCTGGGTGAGACCACAATTGTGGGTGCAGCAGCACTGTGGGTGCAGCAGCTTGGTGCCTCCCTCAGTAGAAGCACACTTCTGAGGGACATTCTAGGGATTCTCAGAAACACCCCATTTCAAGGGTTCTTTAGAGACCTGAGGTCTAGGTTTTGCAGGCTGTGATTATAAAGGTGGAAATTAAGTTAATGTGGCTTTGTTTGTTTATACATCCTTATAGGTTCAGAATAGACAGCCTATCCATCAATATTAGGATTATGTCTAGTTAATTAGAGTAGAGAACATTACTACTTACTTGAAGACTGGCCACAGCTAAGTACTTTGTATTATCTCCTCATAGCAACTCTATTAAAGAGGTGTCATTATTGTCGCTATTTCCAGAAATAAAAAACTAAAGATTGGAGACATTATTTCAGGAACTCACGATCCTATCAGCAGCAACTCGCAGAGCAAAAACTGGAAATCTAGTGCTAGAGCTCATATTATTTCCATTGTTATGCTCTAGGGCCAGTCCCTAATAAATTACCTGTGCCTGTGATGAGCAACTGAATGAATGGGCATGAAAATGACTAGTGTATTTTTTCATCCAAGAAACAGCACAGTCACTGTGTACACTGTAAGTATGAATATTTTTCAAATGTCAGTGGTATGGCTCACATGAGTAATAAGACAGTGTTGAAGTCTAATTTACTGTTCAAATTTCAATCCAGTGCCTGTCATCATGCAACCATCAGAAAATAATTAAATCTCTCTCCATAATCCTTCAAAAGCTCTTTTAGCTCCTGCCAGCATACACCTACTTTAACCTTATAATGTGTAACCGCCCAATAAAAATGCTTTTAAAGCCCTTCCTGCTAACCTTTAACCCTAACGACTGTGCATAATTTATTATCCTATAAACAATCAAATCCTTTCCTTTCTCATGTTTGAGAGATTTCCTTTCTTCCTCCTCCCCCACCAACATTGCTTCATTTGCTGGATAATATTGAATACAGACATGTTTATTATTTGTCATTTTCATTTAAGAGGTATGCTCCCTGTTCTTATGTAGCATTCAATGAAAGTGGAATTTGTTATTTAGAACAAAATTGTTGCTTATATCCTTTTTTCTTGTATTCTTTGTTGATTTCTTTCCCTTTTTTGAACTAGTAATTGTTGTATGAAAAAGTTAGTTATCTGCTTCTGTTCTTAGTTATGCTGTTATGCTTTGACAGTGTTATCTGAAGCAAAATGTAGTTAACTCCTTCATCTTCTTATATGGGTTGGTTAGAGCTATTTAATGTGAAGTCACCTGAACATGTAAATCCATGCTATGTGGAAACGACAGAAGATTATAAAATAGCAGTGCCCAATTACAGAACTAATTCTGTTGATTCATTACATAAATATATAGAGATGAGAGTATGTTCCGTGAAGGCGCTGCAAAGTTGTTAATAGATTTCTTAAATTTCCGGGCTCTATACAAAATTTATTGTATTTTAAATTAAAAAATGTCCTTGATGTAAAGATGGAACTTGATTTTGAGTAAGTTCAGACCTTAGATAGGAACCTGAAAACTCAATTTTTTTTTCATTTAATCCCTGAACCTACACTTCTTGCTATTTTCTTTTCCTCAACATTCTGAGTTTTCTTTACCTAAAAATACTTCTTAAAATCCCATTTTCTTCAAAACAGTTTCAGAATATGGTCAGATGACTTCCTCTTCATAGTGACATCTTGCAGTGGCATATGTTTAGCTGTCGGGAGTTCAGAGGATATGCTTGGCACCGCAATAGACTCCCTTTCTTGAGCACCTCAGAAAGTCAGGTCATCTCTGCCCCTCACAGCACTTCCGGAAGCTCACCCTCATAAAACTTGTCTAAGTGCTCTTCAAATTCTAGGGATGGCTAAAAGGATCCTTTCAAATACACACCTCTTTATAGCACAGTCCACAAACTCCTATAAGTAAAATTTTCAGAGAGGATTTTCAGAATTCTTAAAAGAAGAAAATGTGCCTCGGCTGTGAAAAAAACTTAATAGGTGGCCAAATTTAGACTTTTGTTCTCTTTTCAACATCATGCAGGACAAACTAGAGCAAAGTCTTCAGGAGTTCAGGCAGTGTTTTTATTATAAAAGTTTCAGCTGAGTAGCCAGTTGAAGGGAGTATACAAGCAAAAGTGAAACCGAGTATTCAAACCAAAGATTCTGGAGTTGGTCTCCATCTTCTTCACTTTCAGATTCAATGGTTATAAGTTTCGTGTCCTGACAAATAATTTCCAGGGCTTTTCCTCCTCCTTCCATCTCCATTCTTTCTGTATGGGACTGGAATCTCATCTGTCTCTGGGCTCCTCGCCACCCATTTAGTTCTCTGTTCCATCCTGGCATAACTTATACAGTCGTTGTTCACAAATATCAATACAGTTATTAAACTACTCTGCTTAAAATTCTCAGGTGGCTCCCTGTGTCCTTCCAGATCAACTTCAAGCTTCTGTGCTTGACTTCCAATGCCCTCCAAGGTCTAGCATCTACCTGTGTGTCTCCAACCTTGACCCTTGTCCATTTTCATTTGCTGTGTATACTTTATTCTCAATCATCACGTAACTAATTACAGTCATGCGTCACTAAATAATGAAGATAATTCTAAGAAATGCATTGTAAGATGATTTTGCCATTGTGGAATATTATAGAGTGTATCTATGCAAGCTTAGATGATACAGCTTCCCACACACCTAGACTATATGCTCCTAGGCTAAGCCTATTGCTACTAGGCTACAAATCTTTGCAGCATGTGACTACGCTGAATGCTGTAGGCAATTGTAACATAATGTTAAGTATTTGTGTATCTAGACATAGAAAAGGCACAGTAGAAATACAGCATAAAAGCTAAAAAATTGTATTCCTGTATAGCATGGAGCTTGCAGGATTGGAAGTTGCTCTGGGTGAGTCCAGTGAATGTGAAGGTCTAGGACATTACTGTACACTACTGTAGATATTATAAATACTGCACACTTAGGCTATACTAAATTTATAACAAATTCTTTCTTCAATAATGAGTTAAAATTAGCCCACTATCACTTTTTTACCTTATACACTTTTACATTTTTTAACTTTTTGAGTCTTTTGTAATAACACTTAGCTTAAAACACAAACACATGGTGGAGCTGTACAAAAATATTTTCTCTATATTCTTAGTCTATAGACATTTTTCTTTTTTCTTTTTTTTTACTTTTGTTTTGAAACAGGGTCTCATGTTGTTGCCCAGGCTGGAGTGCAGTGGCGTGGTCTTGGCTCACTGCAACCTCCGCCACCCTGGCTCAGGTGATCCTCCCACCTCAGCCTCCTGAGTAGCTGGGATAATAGGCACATACCACCACAACGAGCTAATGTTTGTATTTTTTGTAGAAGCAGAGTTTCGCCATGTTACCCAGGCTGGTCTCAAACTCCTGGGCTCAAGTGGTCTGCCTGGCTCGACCTCCCAAAGGGCTGGGATTACAGGAGTGAGGCACTGCACCTAGCTGTTTTTTACTTTAAAAAATTGTAATTAAAAACAAAGACACAAACATACATATTATCCTAGGCCTACAGGGTCAGAATGATCAATATCAGTGTCTTCTGCCTCCACATCTTGTCCCATGGGAAAGTCTGCAGGGAAAGTCACATGCAAGACTCTGTCATCTCCTATGATAACAATGTCTTTTTCTGGAATACCTCCTTAAGGACCGGCCTGAGGTGGTTTTATAGTTAACTTAAAAAAAAATAAGTAGAAGGAGTATACTCTAAAATAAAGGTTAAATGTATAGTTTAGTAAATACATAAACCGGTAACATAGCTGTTTATTATCAGTATCATATACTGTATATAATTGCATGTGTTATATTTCTATCTGTCTGGCAGCACAGTAGGTTTGTTTATACCAGCATCACACAAACACCAAACATGTGAGTAACATTGCACTATGATGTTATAAAGGCTACGGTGTCACTAGGCTATAGGAATTTTTCAGCTGTATTGTAATCTTACGGGACCACTGTCTATAAGCAGTTCCTTGTTGACCAAAACATTGTTATGCAGTGAATGACTTTATAATTCCTTATATATATCATTTGCCTTCCAGCTCCATGACTTTGAGCTTTCTCCTTCTCTTTGTCAGGAATGTTCTTTACCCTCTTGTCTATCTTAAAGATATCCTATTTCTCATTTAGCACCTACCTTACAAGAACATTTCTCAAAGAATTGCCCCAGATTCCTCATGTATTCATTATCTTGTATGTTCTTCCAGTTTTGAACTTTTTATTATATTTTTTTAAAAATTTCTCTCCTTCCTTCTTCCTCACTCTCCCTTCCTTTCTTGCTTTCTTTTACGTTTCTCTTACCTCTACCCTTCTATGAGCTTTAAGCTTCTTGTTTCAGAAACAATTATCTGTTATTGTTTCCCCAACAGATTGTTTGGAAACTTGAAGTCAATGCATAATGTGGAGATTTGTTAAAATATCATAATTGCTATTTAGGGATGTTTCTAGTAAAGTTCAACTCTGGGGTTGAACAACAGTAAATCAGTCAAACATTTCTTTTGTAGTAAAATTTTTATTTGAACACTTGCATATAATTTCACTGTTTAATTTTATCCTCCAAATGTATTATGTTTATAATTCAACTTTGTTCAAGGTCAACGCCACAAGTAGAATGAGTGTTGGAAAAACATAATAACTTCGTTTTTCTTGATGAAAGAAACATATAAGCTTTCTTATTCTTAGTTCACATGTAGCCCCCCACTCCCTATAATCTACTATTCCCACATTTAAAGCAAGAATCACATTTTTGAAGTTGCAAGAGAAGAGTATAGGAAGAAAAGCGAAGGAAAAGTGAAGTATGGGTAAGTGGGAGAGAGCATTCTCTATTATTTGAGGCTGTATAACCTTTTCTTTTTCTCTCCAGCTGACTTGCTGTGGCCTACAAGCTGAGGTGCTTGTGCACAAGTGCACAAGCTTAATAAAGGCAGAGTGAAGGTTTCATTCCCATAGTCATTGTTGGGATGACTTTGTTGTTCAGCTTGATCTGCCACCGCCTCATATAAGAATGTATCCTTATCCTGTTGCCATTTTGAAGCTGCATTTTCTTGGCCAACACTGGCTTCCAGTTTGAAAGAACTGTGCTTAAAAAGTTAACTCAACAAAACACATGCTATACTTACGATAGTGCGTATGCTGTACTGAGAATAGTTGGGTGCTGTTGCATTTTATAGAAAAGATGTACTGATTTACTTCAATACTCACTAACAAATCTAACCTTTTATTTATAAGGTATTCTTCAGGACAGCATCAAACAGATGTAATAAGTAAAAGATCATATGTGGATCATTTCACTTTTGATCCAGTCAAATATAAACAAAACTTAAGCATTTTTACCACGGAACAAGTAATAGTTACCATTTGCTTTGTGTCTTCTATATGCCAAGCCTAACAATTGGCACCTTTGCCTAAATTAGTTCATTTTGTCCCTTTTACCAACCGCATGAAATAGGCATATCTTCCTCATTTTGTGTATGAGAAAACTGCAGCACTGATAAGTCGAATCCACCCGAGTGCATTCTTAAGTTTAAAGCATGTAGGTTAAAATTAATTCTACCTATTTCCAAAGCTTGTGACTTTTAATCTTCGCAATCTCACTTCAGTAATCTACTATAAACAATAAACTTCCACTCTTCCTCACCTCTCCTTTCTTCAAATGAAGGTTCCATCAAAGAAACACCTTGGAAGCTGAACATTTAAAAATTTATTATACTCTGAGCTAGTCCTGAAGAATAAGAACGAGACCATCACTACTTTAGGTATTTTTTTTCTCAAAACATATTAAAATATGACTTGTTGAAGGATAATATATTTTAGTTAAACAATTGCCCCTTAATTCACAGACTGTAATTATATATATTTTTACCTGCTGAATGCATTTTGTTTTTAGTCTGATGTTTTAGAATTCTTTTTGAAATGCTGAAGCTCTTTCGGCTGTTTCTCAGGCATTCCAAGTCTTTCTGTGTCTTTGGTTGCCATCCAGTGGCAGCAGCCATATACTTCAGTTGAGTAACAGAAAAGAGAAACCCTCTACTTTCCAAGCTGTGTTTTCTCATTCAAAAGTGAACGGTAGGTGGATTAGTCCATTTTCACCCTGCTTTAAAGAAATACCCGAGACTGGCCCATTTATAAAAGAAAGAGGTTTAATTGACTCACAGTTCTGCATGGCTGTGGAGGCCTCAGGAAACTTACAGTCATGGTGGAAGGTGAAAGGGAAGCAAGGACCTTCTTCACATGGCGCCAGGAAAGAGAGAGAAGAGCAGGAGAGACTGCCCCTTAGAAAACCATCAGATCCCATGAGAACTCACTCACTATCATGAGAATAGCATGGGGGAACCGCCCCCATGATCCAATCACCTCCCACCAAGTCCCTCCCTTGACACGTGGGGATTACAATTCGAGATGAGATTTGGATGGGGACACAGAGCCAAACCAAATCAATAGGTATTAATTTTGTGTACCTAATTTATGAAACTTTTAGCCTAAAATTAGTTCAGTATTTTCCTTTTTACCAACCCTATGAAATAGGTGTATTTTCCTCATTTTATATGTGAGAAAACTGCAACACAGATAAATAAAAGAATCAACTCCAGTTCCTATAATTATTAAGTTTCAGGGTTATGGGTTAAAATTAATTCTGTTTATTTCCAAAACAGATGCCTTTCTTAAGGAAAGCATCACACAGATAAAATCAGTAAAAGTTAATATGTCTTATGTTTTTCTCATTAAGAAAAATAAAAGTTTTTTTCCTAACATTTATTCTGTTTGTGGCATTGATTTTGAAAAAAAAAACTTGAATTATAAATATACAATTTCGGATCACCTGAGGTCAAGAGTTCGAGACCACCCTGGCCAACATGGTGAAACCCCATCTCTACTAAACATACCAAAAATTAGCCAAATGTAGTGGTGGACACCTGTAATCCCAGCTACTCAGAAGGCTGAGACAGGAGAATTGCTTGAACCTGGGAGGCAGAGGTTGCAGTGAGCTGAGATCGCTCCACTGCACTCCAGCCTCGGCAGCAAGAGTGAAACTCCATCTCAATAAATAAATAAATAAATAAATAAATACAATTTGAAGACAAAATTGAGAGATAAAAGGAAATTATATGCAATTGGTGAAGTAAAACTTTTGTCCCCACTGAGTCCAATGAAGATACACATGTATTTAGAAACTGACAAAAGACAGTTTTACCTAAATTTAAAAAATAGTTTTTACTTTAATTAATTTATTTATTTTGAGATGGAGTCTCACTCTGTCGCTCAGGCTGGAGTGCAGTGGAACAACCTCGGCTAACTGCAACCTCCTTCTCCTGGGTTCAAGTGATTCTTATGCCTCAGCCTCCTGAGTAACTGGGATTATAGGCACATGCCACCATGCCCGGCTAATTTTTGTACATATTTTTTTTTAGTAGAGATGGGGTTTCACCATGTTGGCCAGGCTAGTCTCGAACTCCTGATCTCAAGCGATCTGCCCGCCCTGGCCTCCCAAAGTGCTGGGATTATAGTTATGAGCCACTGTGCCCAGCTATTTTTTTAATCAGAAAATACATAACCAACATTTTCCCCTTCAGAAAATCATTGAAGTATTTGTGTTAAAAGTTCTACTAAAGTCAATAATTAGCATGTCTCTATATCAGTGATTAATGCCATCAAATCAAATGCTAGCTTTCTCACATTTTTCTCAAATATGGTTTCTTACCAATGAGAGACGGTTAGTATAAAGGTCCCAAAAGATAATTTATAATCATAAAATGTATTTAGATAACATCTTCCCAGATGGACAAGTTGTAGTCTATAGTGTGGATATAATTTTTAGGAAGTACTTTAAAACAGAGATATATTAGAAACTATGAGACATATTAAATCAGAGACAGATTAGACACTCTGTGAACAGAGGTGAGGAACATGTACTGCCATAAAAGAAAATGGGGTTTATTTAAGCCACTAAAAGTAAGGATATAAAATGGACAATCCTGATAGTTAAAAAGTGTCATGTTCATCTATTCAAAATGTAGTATAATTTTATTTGAGATTGTCTTTTTTTAAGTTTTAAGATGAAAAAAATTTGTATCAAAAGAATTATTTGAAAAATATTCTTCATCTGAGTAAAAAGTCCTGGGTCTCTGGGTAGATAATAATTTCATTTCAGGTGATTTAACAAGTTGCAAATTGGAGAATGGGATGAATAAAGCAGGGAAAAGTCATCCCACTTAAAATTACCTATTTGAGGCCGGGCGCAGTGGCTCACACCTGTAATCCCAGCACTTCGGGAGGCCAAGGTGGGCAGATCACCTGAGGTCGGAAGTTGGAGACCAGCCTGACCAAGATGGAAAAACCTGGTCTCTACTAAAAATACAAAATTAGCCAGGCATGGTGGCACATGCCTGTAATCCCAGCTACTTGGGAGGCTGAGGCACGAGAATCGCTTGAACCTGGGAAGTGGAGGTTGCCGTGAGCTGAGATTGCACCATTGAACCCCAGCTTGGGCAACAAGAGCGAAACTCCATCTCAGAAAAAAAAAAAATGACCTATTTGATTAGGATGTCAAAAAGTAGTTGATTAACTATGCCATGGTTATAGCCATATGTGATTTTTAGTTTAATTTTGAATTCAAAAGTTGGCAATAACTAGATTAGAAAATGTATCATATGTTGCCAAACATTCAGAAGTCGCTTTCACCTCACACTGCTCTACCAAAACTTCTTAGTTTAATGTCACCAGTGACCTCTGATTGCTAAGCCCAGTGGTTGCTACTTGGGTATCTTTTTATTTGATCTAGCAGCAGCATTTGACACTTTATTTTTCCCCGTTGTTTGGTACAGTTCTTCTCGTGGCTACACGGATTCCACATTCTCTTGGTTGTGATTCTTTCTCACCGGTCATCCTGCCTCACCTCCATTGTTAATTTCTCCCCTTCTCTCCACCATCTTTAATATTGGTGCACCTGAGGGCTCAGGCTTTTGTTCTGTTCTCTTCTCTTAGAAACCCTTTGAACTAGGTTTTCAAAACCATGGCCCTACTGACATTTTGGGTCAGACAATTCTTTATATGTGGGGCTATCCTGAGCATTGTAGGATGTTCAGCAGTATCCCTGGTCTCTAATAGCCTCTACCTATTAGATGCCACTAGTAATTCATTCCCCGATTGTGACAACCAAAAATGTCTCCAGACATTGCCAGCTGTCCCCTGGGGAAAAACAATTGCCTTCAGTTGAAAACCACTGACGTACTCTTTGCAATCTTGGGGATATCATTCAGAGTTACACCTTTAAATACATGAATACGATATTGATTAACATATTTATTTTACTAACCCAGTCTTTCACAAATTTCAGGCTTGTATATCCAACTGCTTACTTGGCATATTCAGCTCAATGGCTATAAATATCTGAAACTTCAGATGTTCAAAACGAAACTGATCTTCCCTCCTAAACCCTTGATCTTAGTCATTAACACATTTTTATGCTAATTCCAGCTTTCAGTTTCACAGGCTCAAAATCTTGTCTTTAATCTTGACTTTTCACCTTATCCACATTCCACATTAATCCACATTCAGCCCATCTGCACAGATCTTCTAAATACATTCAAAGTGCAGTCATCTTTCACCCTGATGTGATACACTATCATCTCCCTCTGGGATTTCTGAACTTATGCTGAGATTCCATTAATTCCAACTACTCTCCCTACTTCCACCCTTGCTCCTCCCCCTGCCCTGGGTAATCTGTTTCTAACAAAGCAGAAATCTGCCTCAGGTCTGTCACTCTCTACTACAATGATTCAAAGTTTTTCTTTCTTTTTTTTGAGACCAAGTCTCGCTCTGTCACCCAGGCTGGAGTGTAGTGGCACGATCTCAGCTCACCACAACCTCTGCCTCCTAAGTTCAAGTGATTCTCCTGCCTCAGCCTCCTGAGTAGCTGGGATTACAGGTGCCCACCACCACGCCTGGCTAATTTTTGTATTTTTAGTCGAAATGGGGTTTCACCATGTTGGTCACGCTGGTCTCAAACTCCTGACCTCGCGATCCGCCTGCGTCAGCCTCCCAAAGTGCTGGGATTACAGGCGTGAGCCACCACGCCTGGCCCAAAGTTTTTCTATTTCTCAGAATAAACTTGAAAGCCTTTGGATGGCCTAACAAGTCCTGCATTACTTGGTCCCCAGTGACCTCTCTGATCAGCTTCCCTCCTGCTCTCCCTTCCTTACTCACTTTGCTTTTTTGTTACCTGTACATCTTTTTGACAGAGTGCCTATTTGATTTTTTTATTTTTTAAAAAGGGGTTGTTTTCATTGATTATTGAAAGGTTTTTATATACATTAAGTTACGTGTTTAAAAAAACATTTCTCTGGGTTTGTGGCTTGCCTTTCCACTTTGTGTATGTGTCGTGTTTTTCATATCGTGATTTAAGAATTTTTACCATACCAATGGTCATAAATATTTCTCCTATATCTTATTCTGGAAGTTTTTCTTCTTTAAACTATAATATTTATGTCAAGAATCCCTTTCAAATTATGTGTTATATACAATGTGAATTCAGGATTGAAGTTCATTTGTTTTTACATTTGATTATTCTGTTGCTTGGGGGAGAACTGATCTCTTAACAATATTGTATCTTTCAATCTATAAATGTTTCTTCATTTATTTGGGCTCTTCATCATTCTTTTTTAGCAGTGTTTTGAAGTTTTCAGTACACAGGTCTGGCACATCTTTTGTTACATTTATCCATAAGTGTTTCTCTTTTTTTTTTTTTTGAGGCTATTGTAAATGGTACAATTACTTTTATTTTGATTTGCAATTGTTCAATACTAGTATACAGAAATGTGACTAATGTGTTTATGTTGATCCTACAAAATTGCTAAAGTTTCTAATTAGTTTTAATGTCTCCTTTTTAGATTCTATAGGATTTTCTATGTAGACAATCATATTGTCTGTAAATAAAGACAGTTTTGCATTTGCTATCTACTCTGAATGGCATTTATTAATTATTCTTGCTATTTTGAACTGTTTAGAACATCAGATAAATGTTGAATAGAAGTGGTTAGAGTTGATATTTTTGTCTGAGTTTTGATTTTAAGGGGAAGTCATTCAGTTTTTAATCTCTAGTTGCAATGCCATATATATGGTCTCATATGAACCTTTTATGAGATTCTTAGTTTGCTTAGAGTTTTTATTATGAATAGATGTGGGATTTTTTCAAATGCTTTCTCTATCTGAGGTGATCATATGTTTTTAAAATTTGTTAATATGGTGAATTACATTGATTGGTTTATGAATAAACCAACTTTGCATTCCTAGGATAAACACCACTTGATTTTGATATCAACATTTAAATAATATACTCAGTGCTGAAGAAAGTAGGGGGAGAAATATGTTCTCCAACATCGCTGATTGGGATGTAAAGAGGCAAGACATTTTTGTAAGACAGTTTGCCTATGTATTAAATGGTTTACACATATTGGCATCATCTCATCCAGCAATTCTGTTTCAAGAAATTGTAAGGGGGAAATCAACTGTGAATAAATATTTATAAACATGTATATTTATGTAAAATTATGAAAAAGGTAGAGATGCAATTTTTCAATAACAGAAGAGGGCTTAAATAAGTGACAGAGAAATGTTATTAACATTCTGTCATTTTGTAATGATAAATTAAATGACAGTACTTACATTTAAAATAACATGTATAATATGATCCCCTTTATATAATAAGCATGCATATATTTATGCATGAAAGAAACACTGAAGAATTTACCAGCTAATTTTAACCATTTTATCTCCTGAGGGTGAGAGCTTTTTTTTAAAGCTATAATTTCTGATTTGTATTTGTATGTTTCAATTCTTTCCAATAAAAATTCATACTTGAGACTTCTTGGCCTGCTATAACAAAATGTCATTGACTGGGTGACTTAAAACAACAAATATTTATTTCTTACAGTTTTAGAGGCAGGGCAGTCCAAGAACAAGGTGCTGACATGTTTAGTATGTAGTGAGGGCCTTCTTCCTGGTTTGCAGAAGGCTGCCTTCTTGCTGTATCCTAACATGGGCACGACAGATTGATGTCTCATTTCTTCCTCTTTTTATAAGGACATTAATCCCATCATAAGGGACCCACTCTCATGACCTAATCTAACCCTAATTACTTCCCCAAGTCCTCACCTTTAAGTCCATCAATTTGGGGATTAGGACTTCAACATATGAATATTGGGGAGACATAAACATTCAATCTGTAGCAATGCATTTTTTTGCATTAGGAAAAAAATAAGAAACAGAAAAAATATTTTTTCAATGTAGCTAATTTGGATCAATTCATCTGCCATTTTGGTAACTGTTTTGCTGCATAATCCTTGATGGGGAATCCAGAATTATCCTAACTTTATTTTACATTATTTTGCTACTTGTTAAACAGTGATATATATACTATTATTCAAAAGATATCATTTTTGAGGTCTTTCTAGGTTTTTAAAATTTGTCATAACTGGGAGAGGAAAATTTCTGAGAAAATGTTATTGAAGATCAAGAAATTGTTAAGTGTATAAATAGAGGTGGCTGGGCCTTGTTTATTTTGTTTCAGAATATTGCCCCAGTGGTAACACTTAAATATTCAAAACAATACATTTGGGGGGAATAAAAGGAAACTTTGTGTTACATGATGTGTTGTTAATTTTTAGATATTAATGGCTTTTATTCTATGATACAGTGCAGCATATTGAAATCTTACTTTTAGGCAGGGCATGGTGGCTCAGATCTGTAATCCCAGCACTTTGGGAGGCCAAGGCAGGTGTACCACCTGAGGTCAGGAGTTCGTGACCAGCCTGGCCAACATGGCGAAACCCCATCTCTACTAAAAATACCAAAATTAGCTGGGCATGGTGGCACGGCCTGTACTCCCAGCTACTCAGGAGACTGAAGCAGGAGAATCGCTTGAACCCGGGAGGTGGAGGTTGCAGTGAGCCAAGATCGTGCCACTGCACTCTAGCCTGGGTGACAGAGCTAAAGTCCATCTCAAAAAAGAAAAAAAAAAAGAAATCTTACTTTTAAGGAAATTTATGGACAATTAACTTATAAAGGTGAATAAGAAAGTTAATATGTTTGAGTACTTTAATGCTTTCTAATTTATCAAAATAGAACTGTGCATTTACTCAAAAAGCCCTTTGATAACATCTTAAAAAATAATATTGGTATGGCTGCTCAATAGCTCTGATCTTAAATAGTATTTGTAATGTATCAAAGTGAGGTAGAAAATAAAAACAATTTTTCCATATAATTGGAACTAAAAACACACAGTTATTTAGCATTAATTTTTTTCAATTGTGAGAATTTTGGACAGAAATAAAATCTTTTTCTTTATCCCCCTGCTAAACTTGGCTTTATTCCCTAAGAAATAAAGAAAACACTAGCAAAACATTGAGGTAAAAATGCACGCTGACTTTCTACTATACAGACAATGTAAAGGGCTTTAAATTTGTTATAAAAATTATGTGTACCTGTTGTAGTTCATTTCTGTTGCTATAACAGAATACTTGAGACTGGGTAATTTATAAACAAAAGAGGTGTATTTGGCGCACTATCCTATATTGAGATAGGATAGTGACTTCACACTATAGGCTGGGAAGTTTAAGCTTGGATAGCTGCATCTGGTAGCTTCTGGTAAGGGCTTCGTGCTCAGTCAAACAAAACACAGCGGAGAAATAGAAGGGGAGCTAGGCGCTTTCACAAAAGGGCAAAACACAAGATACAACCTGACTTTAAAACAACCTATTTTGGGGGAACTAATCTATTCCTGCTAGAATTAAGCCAGTCTTCAGAAAAATATATTAATTCCTCTTAAAGACTTAATCATCTTAAAGGCGCCACCTCCCAACATTGCCACGTTGAGGGCCAAGTCTCAATGTGAGTTGTGGTGAGGACAAACCAACATTCATCTTTTATATTTTTTATACATTTTAATATTTTTATAGCAGCCATTATAACAGGTGTGAGGTGATATTTCATTGTGGTTTAATTTTCATTTCTCAGATTGTTAGTTATGTTGAAGATTTCTTTATATACCTGTTGACTATTTCTATGTCTTCTCTTGAGAAATAGCTATTAAGGTCATTTGCCCAAGGCATACACTCTTAATACTTTGTCTCAGAATAGTATTTTAGATGTAAGTTAGTGATGCTTTTCTTGCCTATTCAACTTTTTCATGCATTTACTACTCATTAGCTCTTGCATTCAGATATTTATTCATGCAGCCATGTTTATGTTTCTAGTATATGCTACACCTTCTACTAGTTGCTGAAGATATGGCTTTGAACAAAAACAACAATGCTCCTACCCTCATGAGCTATATTTTAGCTTATGTTAGGGGTATAATGTTAATGATGATTTCTATGGTGTAAATCAGGACTTTAAATTTTCTATGATATGTTCAGAACATTTATTATTTCTTTGATAATCAAATGAAAAGCATCTGATAGAGTGTGATAAACTGAGAACTTGTAATTACTTCTCCTCAACCTAAATATTTAATGTGTATTGTAAATGTAGTAGAATAGCCTCTTTGTGGTAGCAAGCTGGTTTTTGGATTCTTGAAATACAAATGTATGTTAATGTATTCTAAGTAGCTATTCATTTCTTTTTTACACATTTCCTGTGATGAATGGCTGTGCTAACAACATAATCTGAGATAACATTGTCTGAAATGCTGGTGTACTCCATACCCGTGTTTCTCCTCATCTTTTGGTGCTTACATGAACTAAAAATCTCGGTGTGAATGAAAGTGTATTTTATAAATTTTAGAAAAGAGTGATGCTCCTTTAGCCAGACTTTTAACAGAGACTGGATTATTGTTTTCTAGCCTCACAGTGTGAAACACAAGGTACTCACTTCTTGGCTGATTTTAAAATTAAAAGCCGTGAGACCCAGAATAAATGTGGTTCACAGAGACAAGGATCTCCATATTCCTAATACTTTCATTTCTCTCTGACACTAGAACTGGTGGAACAAAGAGAAGAGATAGCATTAGCAGAGCCAAGGGCCCATCTGAGGAACCTGGGCTCATATTGGGTGGTGCCAGGTGGAAGTCAGGAAGGAATGCCGAGGTAGAGCCAATGCTATAGGAATTGGAACTGTAGAGAAGACACAGCCGCTACCTAGATGCTCCCTGGAAAATGAGAAAAATAGAACTATCCTGGCTTCTCACATGCTGTAGCACTCCAAAATCCTCCAGAGTCTCTCATTGGCTACACCTACCTAGAAGCCAGCTTGTAAGGAAGCCTAGGAAATGTTGCTTGCATGGTGGAAATGAAAGTATGAGATCTGAGATCAGGGCAGTAAAGGACTAGTGTGACCCAACTGTATTGTAGCTAAGCTTCCATTCTCATATTTCTGCCCATATTTAATTGCTTTACATCAACAATTACATGTTGATGTTTAATTACATCAACAATTACATGTTGATGTTTAATTACATCAACAATTGTATGAGGCAGCTCTCCGTTGTAAAATTGAAAATACTCTCTTCCACTACTAAACAGGAGAGGTCCAGCATCCTATCAGTCACTACATACATCTCAAAGTCCAGCATCTCTCTCTCTAGATGGTTAAGCAGATCTGAATATGGTTACTCAGGACTGGTGACTTATAAACTAAATCTTAAAATAGGGTGATATAAAATAGAAGAATGTCAAAGGGAAAAATAAATAGTTGGTTAAAATACGTATGTATATTCATAACGCTAATATGAAGCTTGATTCTAATAGTACTTGGTTTTTATAATTGATTAAAGGTCATATTGATAACTATCACTTTCTTCTTTCATAACGAATTCCATGCTTTCAGACAGTATCTCAGAGAGTAAGAGTTATTGCTTGGTTGGATAATTCAACCTTTATTCTTGAAGATTTCTCAGTGTTCCTGGCTTTATTGAATTGCTTTAGTCTTTCATTATCTTTTACTTTTGAACATGGATGAAATCAGAGGTGTCCCTGTGAAACTCTTGGTTACAGAAACAGTCTTTCCTGACTTCACTGCGTAGCAGCAACCCAGTCATTTCTTGATAACCAGAATCAACCAACACATCTAGTATAGTAACACATGTTAACTATGACTATTGGTTTAGTAACATAGGAGGAAGACAAAAGAGCAAAATGATAGTCTCAACTTGCAATTAATTAAAAGCTCTGTGTCTTCTGGTGGTAGCATTTCTCCCACAGGAATTAAGAAGTCCTAAACCAGCAGAACCCCTGATTATGGGATTACACTGTACAAATTCTACTGATAGGGCATTCATTATAATAGAGTGACCACTCTGACTTTCACCCTTTCATTCTTAGACCCATGTAGTTTGGCTATGAGTGAAATAGTATCATTTGTTGATGGCTCATTCAAAGTATATTTCTCTTCTCTATGATCACATCTCAGCCTAGCAGGGTATTTTTTTCTAACCTGGAGCCACAGTTGTGTCTTCAATAGCTATTCCACTGTTAGGTTAGGTCAGCTGTTTCTAAGTAACAGTTCATAGTAAAACCAGTAAATTCCATGGGCATGAGTTTTTCTGCATTTCTTTGGCTTCGAATGAATTCTTCGATCAAAAGCAATTCTGTATAAAATGCATGTGGTTGCTACATTTTATACAGCATGTGGTTGCAGTTGTGTTTTATGCAGCATGTGGTTGCCGCGTGAGTCTCTCTGAATATCACTATACTAAGGACTGTAATGTGGACAGATGACCCTGAACAGTAGTGGGATCTAGAAGAGCTTTGAGGGAAAGTCCATCTTTTCGAGGCCATTCATGTTAAACCCTTCAAGTCGTTCCATTGAAACTCTTCTCACTAGGCTAATGATAAGGAGATGTATTAGTCTGTTCTCATTCTGCTGCTGAAGACATACCCAAGATTGGGTAATTTTTAAAGGAAAGAGATTTAATTGACTCACAGTTCCTTAGAGCAGGGGAGGCCCAAGGAAACTTACAATCATGGTGGAAGGGGAGGCAAACACATTCTTCTTCACATGGTGGCAGCAAGGAGAAGTGCAGAGGAATTGCCCTTTGTAAAATCATCAGATCTTGTGAGGCTTATTCACTATCACAAGAACAGCATGGGGAAAAACCGCCCCCATGATTCAGTTACTGCCCATTCCGGGTCCCTCCCATGACACGTGGGGATTATGGGGGCTACAATTCAAGATGAGATTTGGGTGGGGGCACAGCCAAACCATATCAGAAGGTAACATTCAAACAGCTACATGTAGCTCTTTCCAAAGAAATCTTCTTCTTAAATCTTTTGTCAGTCTTTCACATTATAGAAACTCTTTTATAATCACTGCACAGTGTGAGGGGTTCCAGAGTCTGTTCTAGAAAAGCATAGCACATTTAAAATAAATCCACTGAGCATCTGTTATCCCCTTGTATTAGTCCATTTTCACACTGCTATAAAGAAACTACCTGAGACTGCATAATTAATAAAGAAAGAGGTTTAATTGACTCACAGTTCTGCATGACTGGGGAGGCCTCAGGAAACTTACAATCATGGGGGAAGGCAAAGGAGAAGTAGGCACCTTCCCCACAGGGCAATGGGACAGAATGAATGCAAGCAGGGGAAATGCCAGATGCTTATAAAACCATCAGATTTTGTGAGACTCATTCACTATCATGAGACCAGTATGGGGGAAACCACCCCCATGATCCAATTGCCTCCACCTGGTACCTCCCTCAACATGTTGGGATTACAATTCGAGATGAGATTTGGGTGGTGACACAGAGCCAAACCATATCTCCCCTCTGGTGAGGGTTTGAGACTTTATGCTAAAATCTTTGCATTTGGGTCTGGTACCTTGAGTTGGAATGTAGTATCTATTGTATTCCAGTGTCGAGTCAAAATTCTATTATATAAAATTATTAGTAATGTAATAATGCCTCAGCATTATTCCTCTGTTTTATTTTCTGCCTTCTGATCCATTTTCCTCAAGAATAATTTCCTTAAAGTGTAAATCTCTATTCAAGACTTATTTAATTCCAACACCCCAAAGTTGAACTAAGGACTTTTTATCTTAGACTAGTGAGACAGTAGAGGGCTGATTTCTAGGGTTAGAAATTATAAGCCCCTGATCCAGAACTGTAGTAAACTAATTCTTTTTGTTTTAAATGGATCTTCCCTACTCTCCACAGACATACCCAATGGGCCCTTTGTGCCTTCACTGTCAACAGATACCATCTCAGCCTGTCACACGATTCTAACACCTATAAACCTCCAAAAGGGACAGGCTCTGGATCACCAGCTTCCAGGAAGCTTTCCTCTTCTGGGTATTGGTTAGAGCTCTCTACAAATGTCTTCTGATTTTCTTAAAGATATTACATGTCTGGCTGCTAAGGAATTTTAGGAGAGATGGCTCCTGTTAATTTTGGAAAATATCCTATTCTATCAATTTGCTAATAAATAAGTGACTACTTGCTAAAATAAATATTTAAACAGCTACAATAAATTAGGTCTAGGGTCTAACGTCTAGCAAGTGAGTCTTCCCTTTAGCTATAAACCCTGGTTCAAGGACAAATCCTGAGTCTGCTCAAACAGTGCAGTGGGCTACTTTTAAATGGCAGTTTTTTAACATACTTATTGTGATTATTAGTTTATAGGTGTGTCTTCCCCATTATCCAGAGAGAGAATTGAGTAAGTAGTTTTCATTATTCATCTTTGTGTTCTAGAACCTAATTTAAAGGTCAGCTACTGAATACAGAGTAAATTAATTACAGAATGCATGTAAGCATAAAGGAAGGGAGGAGAGGAAGGAAGAAACGAAGGGAGGGAGGAAAGTTAATTTTATTTAATGAAGAAATTTGACAAGATCAAAAGTCACTGTCTCTTTATGGATGAACCACAGATGTCTGCTAAGATTAAATTAAAATAAGAATAAATTTATAATAGTTCTGCCACTGTATGGATATTTTTATATATATAGTGTTTTTATGATCACAAAACAATGAATACTTATTGAATAGAAGTTTGGTTCAGGCATTAACTGTTGATACATCTTGAAATTTAGGGAACAGATTTTATTTCTTTAAAAATGTGTATATTGGTTCATAGTTTTTATTTTTATTAATTTCAAATAAGCCATGCACTTTAAAAAAGTGAAATCGCATTAAAGGATTTCTCATTGAAAGCAACAATTCCCCTGACTTACCTCATCCTAACCTAATAGGCAACAAACTATAGCTTTCTGTTTTGGGATCATTTTGTTGTATCTTCACATTATTAAATAGATATTTTTATTGCTGTTTCTTGGCATATCTATTTTAGCCATGATTTGTTGATTGCTTTTGGATGGATGCCAAAGAAAAACACTTAACTCCTTAGATACCCTTCTTACCTTTTCATGTTTGATTACAATATGTTGACTTCTTCTAGGGTATCTTAGTTGCTTCATTTGCTTTCAATAAGATGCTTACTTACACCTTTATTTTCTGGCTTGCCTACCATGGGTCATAGCTTGCGAGTATACTTGGTGAATGAGGTGCTAACCCTGCCCTTCCCTCCCCTGCCCCTGCATCCTGTGTGTTGAACACTCACCCCTCCTTGGCTGCAACCCATTCCATGAGCATTCCGGGCTTTCTCTACCTGCTTGACTGGACACCACTGTTCCACATGCTCTCTTTATGAAACCTGTTACAGTTTTTCTCTTTGCTGTTAGTGCATTCCTTATCCTTATTTGTGAGTTTAAAACATAATGATTTCTTTACTTCCATAGTAATAAAGTATGAGAGGGAGAAGAAGTAAATGCCTTCCTTTTGTTACCGGGGGTCTTTGCTCCCAGAGCTCCCAAGATGGTGGCGGGCTACTCCCAGGATGGTGGCCAGCCACTCCCAAGATGGTGGCAAGCCTCTTGCTCTCTGACCTGGGGTACTTGGCCTCATGGATTCCAAGGAATGGAATCTGGGGCCATGTGGTGAGTGTTATACCTCTATTAGAAGCTGTGGGTCATGGAAAGGAACCGTGGAACCCAAACGACTAGTGTTCGGCTCCATTAGGATGAATCCAGGCACTTAGCTGCACAGGAACAATGGTGAGCCTTCAGCCTGATTGGGAGCAGCAGTGGGCGCCTTGCTGGATCAGAAGTGCAGTGGACACCCTGCCGGATCTGGAGGGTTGGAAGTCAAAATGGCGGGTCTGCAATGACAGCAATCAGCAGTGGTGGACAGCGAGCCAAAGCTCAGCTTGAGCTGGAACAAACAGACCAGAAGAGTGTGCAGTTGCAAGATTTAATAGAGTGAAAACAGAGCTCCCATACAACAGGAGGGGACCCAAAAGGGGTTGTTGCCACTGCTGGCTCCCTCCCCCTGTGCTCTCAGGCAATAGATGATTTGACTATTTCTTTACCTTCTGCTTTTAGCCTGATTGGTATTTTAGTGAGCCCTCTTTACTACCTGATGGGTCCGGTGTGAGCTGAGTTACAAGCCCCATGTTTAAAGGTGGGTGCAGTCACATTCCCCAGCTAGGCTTAGGAATTCTTAGTCGGCCTAGGAAATCCAGCTAGTCCTGTCTCTCACTTTGACTAGATTAAACCAGAGCTTTTTTTTGTTTCTTTTGGCTCTTGTTCAATATTTATTGGTCTGCTTCAGGTTTTATTTTTTCTGCTTTATTTGAATGAAAGAGTTTGACTTGATATTTTCTCTTCTGCCAAGGATAAGAAGGCTTAATTTCTTTTGCAAGGGTGTATTTAGTTTTAAAATTAGTATTTTTCCTTTGTATTTGTTACCTGTGCTTGGTAAGTTTCAATTTCATCTCATATATTATAGTATTACTCTACTTTATCTAATATATTGAGCCATACTATTTAACAATGATCATAATTTCTTACCTTTACAAAATATTTTATGCCACAGAGTCACATAAATTATCTCACTTAAAAAAAAATGTCATTTTGATAGTTGCCTAAAGAAAAACTTCATACTAATCTTTCCGTCCCCAAAGTCAGCTTAAGTATAGAAATATTACTGACCTCCAGAATCCTCATTTTTAGATTACTTCCCCTTTCTGTGTACTCTCATTTTAATATTATATCATTTAGATAGTACTAGTTCAATTAGAATGTTGTGGCAAATACCGTGTTAAAGTTTACAGACATTGTTGCTACAAAAAGTAGTGGCATTTTTGTTGATGTTGAAAAACTTATTTTTAGCAGTTCAAAGAAAAAAATTTTAAAAATTAATATAGAGAACACACCTCCCTCCCTAATAGTCTATTTTAATAAACAAATGAAATTAAAATTCCGAATTTTTGTTTTCCAAATGAATCATCTAAGACTATTTTGACAAATCCCTGATCTTTAGGATTTTCTTAACTGAGACAGATAACATTGATTTGGCCAAGATATTTAGTAAAAAGATATTTAACGTATTTAACATCTAATTTAGATATTAGAAAGCAGGTTCTTGAAAGACGAAATTAAGAGCTCTACATCTGCCTCTGTGATCAGAGTCAGCGGTTTGAATGAGTTTCATCCACATTTGATGTAGACAGAGTGCTTTTCCTGCTAGATGGGCATCCAGAAACACAAGAAAAACTGTGACGGTGAGGCAGAGCAGGCGTCGTGCTGACAGCTGAGATGCTTGTGATACCTTCGCTGGCCCGGTGGTCTTGTTATTTGGTTGTGTTGACATCAAAAGAGCACCGTGAGATTCATCAGATTGACAGCGTGGTTGACACATAGCTACAGCTTTTGTAAATATTTATATTAGGCCTCAAGGAAAGGGATAAGTAAGTGCACATTGTTGGGCGCAGAGTAAATAGGAAAGTACAGGTTAGGGAGATTATCTTGCTTTTCTAAGTAACTGACATAGGATTTGTGTGAAAGGAGTGGTTCCAAAAGTGTAGGATAATCAGAAGAGTATGATGAACAAATTTGCCCAGGAAGGGAAATAAGATGTTGTTTTATCATCTTAACATTTTACTTTACATATGCATCTCATTTAAAAATTTCCAAATTCTTTCTCTTCAACTTTTAATTTAAGTTCTGGGGCACATGTGTAGGAAGCGCAGGTTTGTTACATAGGTAAACGTGTGCCATGGTGGTTTGCAGAACACACCAACCCATCACCTAGGTATTAAGCCCAACGTCCATTAGCTAGCTATTCTTCTTGATGCTGTCCCTTCCCCTGCCTCTCCCCGACAGCCCCCAATGTATGTTGTTCCCCACCATGTGTCCATGTGTTCTCATCATTCAGCTCCTGCTTATAAGTGAGAACATTCAGTGCTTGATTTTGTGTTCCCCCATTAGTTTGCCGAGGATAACAGCTTCCAGCTCCATCCATGTCCCTGCAGAGGACATGATCTTGTTCCTTTTTATGGCTGCATAGTACTCCATGATGTATATGTACCACATTGTCTTTATCCAGTCTATCATTGATGGCCATTTAGGTTGATTCCATGTCTTTGCAATTATGAATAGTGCTACAATGAATATACATGTATTTTTATAATGGAATGATTTATATTCCTTTACGTATATATCCAGTAATGATTATATACCCAAAGAGATACCATTTGACCCAAATTGCTGGGTCAAATGGTATTTCTGCCTCTAGATCTTTTAGAAATTGCCACACTGTCTTCCATAATGATTGAACTAATTTACACTCCCACCATCAGTGTGAAAGTGTTCCTTTCTCTCTGCAACCTCGCTAGCATCTGTTGTTTCTGGATTTTTTAATAATTGCCATTCTGACTGGCATAAGATGGTGTCTCACTGTGATTTTGTTTTGCATTTCTGTATCAGTGATGGACTTTTTTTCATATGTTTATTGGCCACATGAATATCTTCTTTTGAGAAGTGTCACACACACTCATATGTTCCTTACCGTACTATTCACAATAGCAAAGACATGGAAACAACCTAGGTGTTCATCAACAGTGGACTGGATAAGAAAATGTGGCACATATGCACCATGGAATATTATGCAGCCATAAAAAAGAATGACATCATGTCCTTTGCAGCAACATGGTTGCAGCTGTAAGACATTATCCTAAACAAATTAAGGCAAGAACGGAAAATCAAATATTGCCTATTCTCACTTATAAATGGAAGCTAAACATTGGGTACTCACGGACATAAAGATGGGAACAATAGATGCTAGGGACTACTAGAAGGAGAAGGGAGGAAGAGGGGCAAGGGTTGAAAACTAACTGTTGGGTCTTATGCTGACCACTCGGGCAATGGGATGAATCATACCTCAAACCTCAGCATCACACAATATACCCATGTAACAAACTTGTACATGTGTTCCCTGATTCTAAAATAAAACTTGAGATTCTTTTTTAAAAAGAAAAATTTCAAAATTTATTTACCTCTCAATGCATATGATTTCTTTGTTTATGTCTCTTCCCCCTATACTATAAAATGTTTTATAGCAGGATCTATAATAATTAAGGCCTGGGAATATCGTAGAATCTATATTAATTGTGATACCTTCTATTTTCAATCTATATACAGCATAGGATGTAGTGTAGTGTTTTGAACATTATAGATCCTCCAACAGTATTTGTTGAATACATTTATTAAAGATAATAGGTTGCTTGCAATAGATTCTAGCTAACATGATTGCAGTTTGAGAACAAACTCAGTTCTTTTATATTTCAGTGTTCTACTGAAAACCAAACACAAACATGAATATTATTGCTACCATAAAGGTTGACAACTTTTATTAATATTTAAGATTCTTTTTAATGGTTCAAAGAACTATGGGAATGTTAATATTGGAAACACAACTTCCTGACTCATATTTTTCATTAGTATTAAAATGAAAGTATCAAGTATCAACCCTAGTTTTTTTTCTTTTACATCTAAATAATTAAGATCCTTCCACAATATTCTAAACTTAATTTATTAAATAACAAAATCACTGCTTTGAAATTCAAGGAAATTGACATTTTAAGCTCTGATTTATGATTTTTCCTGCAGACTATGTGAGTAATCTGATTATTTTTATATTGATGAAAAAATAGTTCAATAAGAAATTTATTCAGACACTTGTACCTTGACATTATAATAGAAAAATAAAGACACAATATTTGTAAATTTATGTACCTGAAAGTTAAAAATATTTGCTTTGGATTAATGAGATATGAGATTAGTTCATTTAAATAGCTATTTAAATGTCTCTCTCATCTAGTTTTCCTATTGTGTCTTTCCACATAAAGAAACATGCACCAAAATCTGAAAGGTCAGGAGTCTAAAATAGTAAACATATGTCACTCAAATTCATGATACATACTAAGACCCAGAGAGAGGAGTCTGTAGGAATCCTATAGAACGTCTCCTATTACCCTTCTTTATTAACTCACAGCAATCCAGTTTCCTCTTATAATATCTTCACTGTTTACGTTTTCAATCCTCTAATCATGAGTGTGGCTATTTTTGTGCAGAGTACATAATATGCTTAATCTCTTTTGTTAATAGAGGTTTTTTAAAAGACCTTTTAGAGGTGGGAGTCATTTTAAAAGCAGATTGTGCAATTTTTCTCCTTCATATATTTGAACATGTTTTAATAATGTTTCTTTCTAAAGGTTTGGGTACACTTGGCAGATTTTTAGACATGGAAGTCTAGAGTCGCGTTTCTATTTAATATTTTCAACTTTATGTGTAGTATATATACTTTACACATTTCAAAGTTGTTCTCTCATCTGTCTCCATAGTGTCTTTATAAGATAAATGGCTGGTGTATCTTGAGATCTTAACTATAATGCTAAATTTTGTTTCTTTTAATATTTTAAAATCACATTAACTTTTTATATTGTTATATATTTATTATTCAAGGCTTAGACAATCTACATGCTTGTTAAGTTTCAGTCTAGGCGCCAATTTTTTCTGCCTTTTTCTCTTAGCTTTGAAATTCTCTTAAATAGAAATAATGTGGGAAGATTTTCATAGCCTAGTCATTACATAACAAATATCAAAGCCATTAACAGTAAGAAAGCATTTGTTTAATCTCATCATCACTCTCTTTATGGTTTTATCTAAATCCAAACCAGATGTTGAGCAGAACTAACTCCCTGTGACATCCATACTTTGTGTGTGTGTGTGTGTGTGTGTGTGTGTGTGTGTGTGTGTTTTCTTCAGAAATCAGAATGTTTGGTCTGTTTAATTTTGTTTTTTGAAAGCTCAGCCATCTGACATGATGAACACATTTCAGAATTTACAATTGTTTCTTGGCCTGAATAAGATCAAATTTTACAAGCATTCATAATTTTTCTTGGCACAGTTCTTCCTTGTGTTTCTTATACATGTTGTTCCCCTGTGAAAAAATTTTCTGGCTGTGTCAAAGAAATACATCTTTGAAGTTACGGATTGGACCATATAGCTGATGACAAAATCAAATTGATGGTCCACCAACAATAGAAACATAAGTGGTTAATTGCTATGTATCTTCATGTCACAATTTTTAAAAGCTACATAGCTACATCTTGACAGTGGAAATATTTCTAATAACCAACATTTATTGAATGCTTCCTACGTACTTAGCATTGTGGTAACATTTTGTGGCAGGGAATATTATTGTTATCACTATTTGCTATTGCT
This sequence comes from Homo sapiens, assembly GCF_000001405.40. NCBI lineage: Eukaryota > Metazoa > Chordata > Mammalia > Primates > Hominidae > Homo > Homo sapiens. The sequence continues at coordinate 91,801,763 of NC_000013.11, forward strand.
AAGTTGATGTGGGCAAAGTCACATACCAAATAGTTAGTTGCACCAGTATTTGAATTCAAGCAGTTCCATCCCAATGTCCACATTCCAAGTCCCAGCATACCACAGTGCCACAGGGAGGTGACAGCTCTCTGTGGCTAGGCACTTCATCATACCACATTCCTAAATAAGAAGATTATCTTCTTTGTTGCGTTTTCTGCCTTGGATTTCTAGGCATGGTTAAAGCAGATGTCCCTATGTACTAAACATATAAGCATTCAATCACAGAACTATTTATTTGTGTATTTACATGTCAGATCTTATAGAGCAATATTTAAGTTATCAAAAGACATAGTGTGTCTGGAATTGGTTCCTTCTGGTGGGTTCTTGGTCTCACTGACTTCAAGAATGAAGCTGCGGACCCTCGTGGTGAGTGTTACAGTTCTCAAAGATGGTGTGTCCAGAGTTTCTTCCTTCAGATATTCAAATGTGTCCGGAGTTTCTTCCCTCTGGTGGGTTCGTGGTCTCACTGACTTCAGGAGTGCAGACACAGACCTTCACAGTGAGTGTTACAGCTCTTAAAGGTGGCGCATCAGAGTTGTTTGTTCCTCCCGGTGGGTTCGTGGTCTCACTGACTTCAGGAATGAAGCTGCAGACCCTTGTGGTGAGTGTTACATCTCATAAAGGTACTGCAGACCCAAAGTGAGCAGCAGCAAGATTTATTGTGAAGAGCAAAAGAACAAAGCTTCCACAGCATGGAAGGGGACCCAAGCAGGTTGCTGCTGCTGGCTTGGGTGGCCAGCTTTTATTCCCTTATTTGGCCCCACCCATGTCCTGCTGATTGGTCCATTTTACAGAGCACTGATTGGTCCATCTACAAACCTTTAGCTAGGCACAGAGTGCTGATTGGTGTGTTTACAATCCTTTAGTTAGACAGAAAAGTTCTCCAAGTCCCCAGCCGACCCGGAAGCCCAGCCAGCTTCACCTTTCACTAGCATGTGGTAGTGAGTATTAGCATAATATTAAATAAAGTACCTTGGACTCGCAATCAAAAGGCATGGACTCATTCTGTCTCTTCTACTTGAGAAATGAATGCTTTAAATAAGTTACCTGAGCATTGTTGGTTCTTAGCATCCTCACTCATAAAAGAAGATAATAATATTAATACTAATACTTTTCTCTGACTGGATTGTTACAAGGATTAAGGGGACTAATTAACACAAAAGTAAGAGTAAATAATGTAGTAGAAAATAAATAGATGATGGTGTTTTTTGCTTCTTTCTTACCAAGTAGATGTTTTAAAAATAGTCAAAATAATCTGTTGCAAGTACCCAGAACTCAAACAATTTGAAGATGGGTTGCTTAACTTTTAGTAATTATGATGGAAACCAAAAATTGTCATTAACTAAATGATTACATCATTTTATATTATTGGTGAGAAATCATTTTAGTACTATAAGTATTGAGATGTTAATTTAAATGATTCACCCTGTTCATAAAATTTCTAAAATGAAAATAGTTTAAAAAGTGATTTTCAGACTGTAAAGTTGTGGTGATGAAATCAATTTACATCTCATTTTGGAGATCATCTTTGTATTTTAATATTTTTGTATTTAATACAAAAAGAGGAGTTATATCACTCATAGTTAACCTAAGTATTATTTTTGTGAAATTTTCCATTTGATTTTACACACACACAGACATACACACATCTGTACCTGGTCATACGTATGTATGTGTGTATGTATTGGTTTATGATATGAATGTTATTTCTTACCATAAATTTCACCATTATAAAAAAGTTGCTCTCCACAATACTGGCTGTCAGTGTCCCATACACAAGATGATGTGTTTAAAAGGTGTGCGTGTTACCCAGGCTTGGCCAATCAGAATTTTTCGTAAGATTGTTACATTAAGTTTAACAATTGTTAGATTTTTAAATTAATTTTTAAATTAATTGTTGAATTAAATTTCCTAAAATTGTTAAGTTGCCTCTGGTAGACATTCTAGAAACATATATAACAGAGACAGACAGACAGACAGACACACACACACACACACACACACAGAGGAAAAGAGATGAGATAAGATATGAGGTGATGAGAAAGAGAAATGCAGAAAAATAGAGAGATGCATAAAGAAATGCAGAGATAGAAAAATGCAGATAAATAGTGACAACAAATTAGAAAAATAGAGAGAAAGGCAATGCAGTGAAAGAGACACAACAAGGGGACAGAGACAGAAAATGCAGAGAGATATGCAGAAAGAAATATACAGGGGCAAAGAGACATGGAGAAAAGGAGACAGATGCCCAGAAAGAAATACAACAGAAACAGAAGAGAGATGAAGATCTCATTGAATATCTGGAACTAGTCACTTCTGAAATCAACTTGACCCTAGGCTTCCTTGTACCATGAACAAAATATATTTGGGTTTCTATCATTTAGAACCAAAAATAGTACTTTTATTGCTGGTTATGCTTTCTTAACAATAAAAGTTATTCTTGATTTTAAAAAAAGTCACTCTTGTGAGGGCCTGTTAGTCTCTGATCAGGATGTTTGCTGCATGTTTTCCCAAGAAATATGCAGTAGTATAGCTATAGCTCTCGTCTGTACTCACTCATGGTCCTTGCTCCCCCAACATCTTATTGCCACTTCAAAGTGCCAGCACATGCTTTACAATCATGACATTGGTTTTTAATCCCAGTGCTCACCAGCTTGCTATCATAACACATAATTTGGAAAAATTTCTTGACATCTTTTGCTTAAAGCTAATGTTTTATTTAACTGATGCACGCTTTCTGCTACTAGTTGCTGTTAGCCATCAAAAGGAGGCTTGGCAATTTTAAAACAGAGAGAGGGAGAGAGAGATGAATTATTCTTTTTTATTTGCTCATTTCCTGATAATTCTCGCTAATTTTAATGGGTTTTGATGTGCAAAAATGATCTCCTGAGAACAGTTCAATCATTGCAGAGCACATTAAAATAACAAGGCATTATGCCATCTTGAGTCCCTAAGAGAGGCAGGTTTGGCAGGGCAAAAGTGCAAGAAAGACCTGCCCATTACAGTGAGACTTTACTGGAGATGTGTGCATGTGAACTTCACTCAGGCTCAGGCAGCTGAAGGGAAGGAGATGAAATCTCAATACCAGACCTGGCAGGCCAGGTTGACATGAGGGCCATCTGGTTCCTCTCAAGAATGTCAGGTAGCAGAATGAGCAGAGAGTGAGAGCGCATTGCTGAGTTCTGGTTCATTGTGAACTGATTTAGAGCTGCAGGAAAATTTTGCTTCTCTGAACCACATGGCAGAACATAACCTTCACACATCTCCCCCTGCCTTTAGCAAACTGGGCAGAGGAGTGGGTGACTTGAAAACAATGACAGGATGGAGAGAGGGAGTGGTGTGGTTGATGTTTTACTTTTAAACACATTTTTAAAGAGTATAGCTTTACAAACTCCTCCACGGCCAACCCTCAAGTTCCACCCTCTACCCCTCTGTAAAACTGAGCTGGAAATAATTAAATCTAAAGCTAAAAATGAGAGGTGGGGAGACATGTTGCGTGTAAAAATATGGCTAAAGAAGCTTTGCTGTTTCTTTGAATCCCTTGATACTTCTTTTATGCATGTACTTACAAGTTGTTGGAAAGGAAAATATAATATTTTATCTTCCAAATTAAAGAGTGTATTTTGCTGCTATTAAGATACCATGGGCTTTGCTTTATTGGATCATTAATTTGACTTTGGTCAAAGGGACTTATTCAGTAAGCATGTATCTCGCAACACACAAGACGTGTATATTAATGAAAGACTAGAACATACCCAGGAGTCTCTTATTGCCTTATTAAAACATTTATAAATGGGACTTTAATTTAAAGTGCTGCTAAAATGAAAATGAAGTGTTGTATTGATTCTCATGCCAGATGCTCTTTAGAAAATGCAGTGTGTGTGTGTTATTCCCACTTCAAATTATAACTTCAAATCTGACCTGGACATACTTAAAGATAATTCTCTGAAGACAAGATGTAGCATATAAGGCAATTAAACTAAGTCATTTAGATTTCTAGGATGGCTTTTGTACACTAGGTGGCAGAGGCTTCTAAGAATATCTCTCTTATATAAAGTACCAGAGTTTTGTTTGGCTTTGCAAGCTCAAGCAAAACATTCATGAAAATGTTGTTTTTTAGCAGTGGACTAAGATTCGCCTTTTTAAAATATGTGGAAAAGTTTCTACTGAAATTTCAATAGCATGTTTTGTTCTATGTGAACCTTCAACAAATACAATAATTTTTTTTTTTTTTTTTTTTTTTTTTTTTTGGAGACCGAGTCTTTCCTCTGTTGCCCAGGCTGGAGTCCAGTGGCATGATCTCTGCTCACTGCAACCTCCACCTCCCGGATTCAAGCGGTTCTCATACCTCAGCGTCCCGAGTGGCTGGGACTACAGACATCTGCCACCATGCTCAGCTAATTTTTTGTGTTTTAGTAGAGAGTGGGTTTCACTGTATTGCCCAGGCTGGTCTTGTACTCGTGAGCTAGACAATCCACCCACCTTGGCCTCCCAAAGTGGTAGGATTACAGGCATGAGCCACCGCACCTGGCCAAATGCAATGAATTTTTTATTTAGGGAACTTATTTTTTCATAGAATAGCAGAATTTATTTTTTAATTTAATTAAACTTTACTTGGTTTAATTAATTTAATTTCTTTTTTTTTTTTACTTTAACGCAATAAAAAACCATTCTTAAATGGGAGGATTCAAATGAATGCATGGCAGGGGGTGATGCCTCACATTCTTACAACACCTCTTTATTTTTGAAAGACTTTTCACATGCATTTTTAAATTTGATCCTTAAAATAACACTGTACTGTGTTAGCACAATTTACAGGACAGGAAATAAATTTCAGATAAGGTCAGTAACTTCTCCCAGATTAAGTAATAAAGTGCTCCTGTGTTTTCCCTTTCTATTTGAGCACAAAAACATTCAATAGAATTTTCACTAAAGAGGAGCTGTGAGTATATTAGTGAGAGTGGGAAGTGGAAGAGTGTCATCTAGTTTTTAAAAGGTGGCAGATCAACAATATTTAGCGAGAAATGGGGAGGAGGAAAAGCCAAAACAAATGAACTCATTCATTTAAAAACATTATCAGCATCTCCCTGAAAATTATCAACATCTCATATACTATATCAATATATTTTTGGAACCATTTTATGGGAATATTCTTAATAGAGTTTTAATGCATTTAATGCATGCTCTTTTTTTCAGTTGTCCAAAGAGAAGTGTGCCTTTTGCAATAGATCAATATTTCTCTAAGCCTGCTTCCCACACCAACTAATATCAGATTCACTAAAGTTTATTAAGAATAGGCTTCTAGCTCCTACTCCCAACCAGATTAATCATAGTTTTGGGGAACTAACCCAGGTATCTTCATTTTCAACCAGCATCTAAGATTTGGCTAGTAAGTTGTGAGAATCAACAGATTTTACCTTTTTTGATATGATACAGATGCAGGCAGAAATATGTAAATAGAGTTATAATCACCCCACATCTTGTTTTTTCAGTTATCATAAATTACCACAAAAATTTTGTTCATATGAAAAGATGACCTAATGAATGATAAGTAACTTGGAATTTAAAGAAAATGGGCACACACTCATTCATGCATGTAAGTAGAGGAGGCACATTGGAGTAGAAGAATTTCTTTTCTAGATTAATGGTTGTAAATGTCCCCAATCAAATGTTAGTTAATAAGGCAACATTGTCCTTTGAAAAATAACTTGAGAAGTGAGAACAATTTTGTTTCTGCTACTTATTTTTACCTCTGATTGCTAAATAATCTAACAACTAGCCATTGTTCTCCTTGTGTTTGTTTTCTATTGTAAATTTGGTAGACTTAATTACGGGTGATAATAGTAGCATTTTTGAGGAATGACAATCTGTTGTGCATTTTCATGCATAATTATAAAAGCACTCTTGACAAACGAATTGATCGCCTAAACAAAATAGACATGGGTGTAAATGCAGGTCAATCAAATGGAAGATCAATCATGTCAAGCAATATTTTCCAACAGTTCTTTTGAGAGATATTCAGAGAAACAACAAGGAAAATTAGTTTTAAATTATCTTGGAGATGCTACATTGTAAAACATACTAAGTACATTTTTTGTTTGTTTTTAACCACAAGGTTTCTTAAAGCAATGAACAGACCAATGTGCAGTGAATTTCTTGGAGGCAACTGTATAGTTCACTGTTGAATGTATTTGGCATAGTATAATGTGGGATGGATTCAGAAAATCTGAATTTAAGAGTATACAGCTGTGATGAACCACATTATCTATTACTTCTAGACTGTTTAAGATCTATCTTTCTAGGAAAAAAAATGAATTTTAGATGATTCGTATACTACATGTAGTATGGCCCATTGTAAAAGTTTAAAAACCTTCCCTTATCCTCCTTCTTCCCAAAAGCATATATAACTCTTTTGCCTTGAGAATGAATAATGGTTTTTCATCACTTCAGACATGATTGAATAACCTACAAAGACCCAAATACCATATGAAAGACAGTAGAGAGTACCAATTCATTGGTTATTGATTGTAGCTCTGCCGATTTTGTGCCTTCCCATCTTGGTCATTTTTATGGGTTCTAACATATTCCATCTGTTGAGCACCTATCTGTCTGCATCTTTGAACTGACACTGAACACGTGGACTCTAATTAGTTATTTTACAATTTCCTGGAGTATGCTCTTACCTGTTTATTTGAAATCTCCTGGCCTCTTGACAGCTCTTTACTATCTGGGTTGTTATACATAATTCAAAGACAGAGAAAGCACAGTGAACATTTACATCAACTAACTCATGCTACAAAAGAGGAAATACAACATATTACTTCTTGTCTACTCCTGCCCATGAGACTTTGCAATGTAATAATGATTCTTTGAAACCTCGCTGATTTCTGTAGTCTCCAGACCTAAATTCTCCAAAGTGATACCTTCAAACTACTGCTTAGGACACGGCTTGTCATTGGAGGACACTGAGGTATTCCCCAGTCCCTGCCACTCACATAGAAGCATTTATGGGAATAGGACTAAGCTAAAAATTTCATGAGGCAATAAACTATTTCTGAGCCAGTGCTAGCATTGTTTCACATCTCTGTATTTCAGGACTTAGTTTTGCAGCTCTTGCCTAACACAGAGAAAGCCCTCAATATCTTTGTGTTAGAAGAATAATCAGAAAATATAGATAAATAAATTGAAAGCAATGGCTAAATTATATAATCAGAGCAAATTGTCAACAATACACACTGTATAACTTGAAGGACATTGTCTAAAATTTATTTTTAAGGTAGAAAAGGATTATCATCTTTACTATATTTCCAAAAAGCATGATTAAGCCCTCATCAATTTCTGTACCTGTGAATGTGCTTTGGCATTATACTTACACAACATCAGATATTTTATACTCTGGATAATTAGTGGACAGTTTTGTACCTTTGATTTGCTATTATACCATCAGTATTCAACAGTTATTTTAACCACTACTGAAATATTTGAAATCCACTGCCGTTTAATCATAGCAATTATCCTGTCTGCAGAAGTTTCCAGTGACAGAGAACTATCCTGTAACTGACAACCAATGATGAATAGTTTTTTCTGACACTAAGTTTGACTAACAAGTAAGTGAGGATCCTTCACATTTGCTTTGCTTTGCCTTGCCAAGTGTCAAAACTGTAAATCCTCTGGCTGACGTTTGACTTGGTGGAACTATAATGGCCTTGTTGGTTGTGGCTCTGTTAGAGAAAAGTTATATATATAATCAACTGTCAGCTCAGATGAATTTCTCAGCTATATTGCTTACTTTTGTTTGTTACAGAATTAACTGGAAATTTATTTTCCTCTCTTATCTCCCTTAGAATATAATAATTGAATTCATTTCCCACACATAAAACTCCCATCTCCTGCTTTGTTTTTTTAATAAAGAGAAATTTAGCACAGAATACATATGGCCCAAAGACATGTTGAAACATATACTGAATATACTCTACAAAATTTTAAATATATATGTGAAAAATTCTCGTGAATATGTGACATATAAGGTAAAATGAAAATTGCCTTTTTGTAATATTAATCTGGTAAGAAGTGGACATTAGGAAATAGTTCATTCGTTTTTTTGATGCATATGCTAATAAGCCTTTAGGGAAGGTTATGGTGTGAAATCTAAGATTCAGGGATTCAGATTTTTCTCAGGGAATTATGTGCAATTAAAAAACAACACTTAATAAGTGTGGTATAAAATTGTCTTAAGTGGTTCTATTCCAAGGGAGGAAATCATATTTTTTTTAACATTGAAACTACAAGAAATTTGGAGAGAATTCAGTAAATAAAAACAAAATTAGTTTCAGAGAATTAATTAGTGCGATATCAGAATACTAAAACTGGAGTTTCAAGTGTGTTAAATATGACCAGGCCCTAAGATGTCATTTTTCTTATCTTTTGGAAAGATAGAAAATGACTATGATGGCTTATTTGTTACATTCTAGAATTCTTATTGGATAATTATGTAAGTTGTATTATTTAATGCTTCCTACAAGAGACATTATTATATCTCTTATTTTGCAGATTAGGGCACAGTATTTGAATATTAAGTCATAATACCTTATGTTATAGTGCCAGGGAATGGTTGAACTTAAAGTCCAATCTGAATGCAAAGACAGTGTTCTTTCTATAAACTCTTCAATTATGTAGTCTGTATAAGAGAACTCTCTCTTTTTGCTGAATGAATTAATCAATTTAGTTACTACAGTAAAACTGTTATAATTTAATTTCTCAAAGACCTTGGCTTAACACAGGAACATAATAAATAAAAATAGAGTAAAAATCTGTTGAAATAACTATGATGTGTCTCTCAGGATAATGAAAAAGGGAGGATAACTTCAAGGTCCAATAGTAGACGGATGATTGAACCAATTATGCTATGTCGTTATAACAGGTTATACATATTTTAAATCATTACTTTAGTTGTACAATATAAACTTTTCCATATGTCACCAGATGTTATAGTAAAACATTAAGGAAAAATAGTTAATACTAATGAAGGGAAATCTTAATCTAATATTTAATACTTTATCACTTAATAGGATTTTGAGGAACACCTTTCTTATTTCTTTGTTCCTTTTTATTTAGAATCACAGAGATTTTGTGTAACCAAAAAAAAAAAAAAAAGAACCCAGGAAATATTTTACATATTCTAAAAGTTCTCACATTCTCAACATTATTTAGCAAATGAAAGGAAAATATTGACATAACACTAACTCGTGTCTGCCTTCATTAAATTTCAAAATCGTTAAAACTGTCACAACTTCCTTAAAGGTAAAATGACCTATTTTACAATTTAAAAAATAGTCTGGGTGCTAATTGAATCTAGAATTAAAACTTGAATCTTTGAGTGCCTTGACCCTTAAAATAATTTTGTTTCAGAATACCAATTAGAATTTGACCTAAAGACATCTGATATATTAAGACTAATTTTTAAAATTTGCATGAAAGTAATAGTAATCACACTAATTCTAGTTTTCTAACAGGGAAGACAGATAAGTGTTACTTATCTGTAAGGTGTTTCTCTAATTTTGAAAATTTCATATAAAATATTCTTAAATGGATGTTTTAGGTTTATGTTCATTTGAATTTTTTTCTCAATTATGTTGTATAATGATAAACAGTATATTAACAGCACATTAACAGAAATAATTGTGTAGAGACAATGGAAGAACCTATAAGCTCTATTGGTGATGTAATTTTTTAACAGGTATAAACTGTGTTATTACAACGTTCAGTTTCTATCCACTTTGTTTAATTTTATAACCACTCCTATCCTAATAGCATGAACATAAAGCAACTTTATATTTAGAGTATTTTTTGAGAGATCACTTCTTGTGGAAATTACATTAATAGGTCATTGATTTCTCTGGTACAAATGACCTTGAACAAAATACTGCCATGGGCAAAACAAAGTCATTATAACTATCCACTACACTGTGGACTGTGTTAAATAATCATAATCCAAATAAGAAGCTCCAAAATGTTGGTCTCTGGTATGAATCTGTAGCTTAAAAGCAGTCACACATTGGTAACATCTTTCCTGAATTATGTTACTACATCACAGCGAAGATCTAAATACACTTCAACACTCAGAACACTTTCTCAGCATGCCTACAACGTGGAGCTGCAGTGTGAATGAGTTAGACCCATGCTCTGAAACAGGTTGCTGAGTCTAGTGAAACAAAATATATAGACTATGAATAAAGTGGCGGGTAGTACCTGAAATATACTAGACTGACTGTGAATAAAGTGGCAGGTAGTACCTGTTGCCTTAGGCTGAAGTGGAAAGGTCTGAACTTTCATTGAAGAAAATATTTATGAATGCATTAACTAAGATGAAATTAGCAGATTCAGACAAACACTTGCAGAAGTCCAGACTATAAATATAAAAATGTCTTTGCTTTTAAGTTGATTAAATCTTATTGTTCTATTTCTTAGAACTGTTAAGTTGTGCCCCTCTATATTTATGTGCCTGTTTTTTAAAACACATAAATTTTTTGTTGCTTTGAAAGTATGGAATAAAGAAACACTGCTAGGAAAATGAAAAAGCAAGAAAACTGAAAATATGGTTTATTAGAAAAATATTTATGAAGTACTTTAGCACACTAGCTGCTTTATACTCTGCCACACACTTATGAAGTGATTAGAACATGTGTTGTTGCTCATGGTTTCCAAATGGGGAAACAAGGACTTAGAAAGCTTAAATAACTTCCCAAATTTAAATCTTGTAGTGGAATCTACAATAATGTCCAATTTGTCCTCTTCTAATTCCAATCCAGCATTTTTCTAGTACATATTCATTTTTGTTTGGTATATTCTTCAGTATTTCACAGTTTCCTGTGTTGTTTGAGTTCTTATTCTGTACTTATTTCACTCTCTCAGCGTTTTTATCCTATTCACCAGCAGAGAAAGAAGGTAGCTTTCTCAATTTCTGTTAATCTATATCACCAATCACTTAACTGTTGGAGTAACATAAACCTCAATAGCAGAAATGAAGACAACATTTGAAAAATCAGAAAGCTCTCGCTTTTTCTACCCTCTGACCCAGTTTGCAAGAGTCTATTGGTAAAAATGTCTTGACATCTTTGGAATGCTGTCAAGAAACACAGAGCCCAAATGAAGTCTGTATTCATTGTCTCTCACATACATTTTACCTGTTAAAAATGCATTTTCTGCAGTTTAAGCCCAAAGTGTCACGGAAGTACTACATTTCTGTGACTTGAAATTCCAAAATGAGACATTTCCATCTTTAAGCTGGAAACAATTCTTATACTTGTCACCTTTTGTAGTTTATAAAGGTTTCTTTTGATCCTTTTGCAGTTACTTGCTGAATATTGAAAGGGGCTTTTTTGACACATATAAAACAGGGTTTATGTGTGCATGTTTATTTTTATAAATTTATTTGTTGCTAGGTCCAAGAAGCCTTTTTCTCCCCTTTGCATTACTTTGATGCACCTGTTATGATCCTGCTGAAAGCTCCCTTGCTTCTTTGGAGCTCTGAGGGGAGCTTTGTACCTTTGAAATTTTCACGAGCTTTTGACTAGCTGCCAAGATTTCGGCTGCTGTGATGCAGTACAGAGGCAGCCATGCATTGGGCTGCCAAGTCTCAAATTCTTGTTTAGAATGACAGTGAGAACCTCCAGACCTCACTAAAGAGAATTTGCAGAACAGAACTGTATTCTTTCACAAGGTGGTTGGTGCCAAGGCCGGGTTGGTCTTTGACAGAGCAGAAACCAGGATGATCAATATCAGAAGCATCCTCATGCATGGTTTTCAAATCAGGAGTGGGGGTTAGGAATGAAGTTTGCCGAGTATTGGATATAACAGGGGATATTTAGAAAAGGTGCCAGGCATTGAACTGATTCAAATTTCTCCCAGTATCTACTCTTTTTGTAAAAGTAAGAAATTTTGAATTGGAAATAACCTAATTAGTTTAGAAAAACAAATAAATAAGAAAATAAGCATAGCATTTTTTAAAGGCTTAGCTACTTAAGCATTTAAAATACCTTCTCTCACAAAAGTTAAATCTTGTTCATGTGTACACTGGTTTTGATAAGATAATATTTAGACTGTTGGATTATCTTAACTGATTTTTTTTTTTTTTTTTTTTTTTTTTTTTTGAGACAGAGTATTGCTCTGTCACCCAGGCTGGAGTGCAGTGGCGTGATCTCGGCTCACTGCAACCTCTGCCTTCCGGGTTCAAGCCATTCTCCTGCCTCAGCCTCCCAAATAGCTGGGACTACAGGCACGTGCCACCACGCCTGGCTAATTTTTTGTATTTTTAGTAGAGACGGGGTTTCACCATCTTAGCCAAGATGGTCTTTATCTCTTGACCTTGTGATCTGCCTGCCTCGGCCTCCCAAAGTGTTGGAATTACAGGCATGAGCCACTGCGCCCGGCTAACTGAAAGTTTTAATATAGCTTTCAGGGATAACTTATGTACTCTTGAAACTATATCTGATATTTTGTATTTGTATGTATGTCTGTTGATGTCTCTCTCTGTATACATAGAAACATTTCCATATCTAGCTAGCTAGCTCCCATTTGCAGGTTTTGTATATCCAGTTACAACAGCATAGTAGGGGAAAAGGAACCTGACATCATAATATTCGGTATTTTTACAAGCAGGATATTAAAATTCATTTGCAAGTTCTTAGTGGAATGCAGTAGTTTTTGATCATATGTATTCTGCAACTTTATTTATTTATTTATTTATTTATTTATTTTGAGACAGAGTTTCACTCTCGTCACCCAGGCTGGAGTACAATGGCGTGATCTCAGCTCACTGCAACCTCCACCTCCTGGGTTCAAGCGATTCTTCTGTCTCAGCCTCCTGAGTAGCTGGGATTACAGGCACCCATCACCATGCCTGGCTAATTTTTATATTTTTTGTAGAGATGGGTTTTCACCATGTTGGCCAGGCTGGTCTTGAACTCCTGACTTCAGGTGATCCGCCCACCTCAGCCTCCCAAAGTACTGAGATTACAGGCATAAGCCACCGCACCTGGCCACAGCTTTATTTTTTAATTGAATGCTGTTATACATGAGAGTAGGAAACACCTATGGTTCAGTTTCTCTATGCCATTTGGAATATTTCAAGAACAGTATAGACATAACTTGCATTCCAATTGTTTAAAGAATTGTATGAGTCTGAATGTGGAAATTAACCATTTTGTTTTCAGTGCTAATTTTATGAGACCAATAAGCCTGCAATAGAATGACTAGGAAAGCTACTACCTTCATTAAGGAAAGAAGCTGGGTATGGTGGCTCACACCTGTAATCCCAGCACTTTGGGAGGACAAAGCAGGAGGATCACTTGAAGCCAGGAGTTTAAAATTAGCTTGGGCAATGCAGCAAATCCCCATCTCTACAAAAGAAAATAATAATAATAAATAAATAAATAAATTAGCCAGGCCTGGTGGTATGCACTTGTAGTCCCAGCTACTCAGGAACACTGAGCCCAGGAGGTCGAGACTACAATGAGCCATGATTGCACCACTGCACTCCAGCCTGGAAGACAAAGTAAAGTCAGAGACCACAGCCAACCAGAACATGCATTGCTCTTGGTGGATAAGTGAGGCAAAGCAATTTATACTGTTTACTCCCCTATTTTCCTTTCCTTGAATTTTTCTAATATTTGTGTTTTTATAGCATTGTATCCACACACAAAAAATGATATAGACGCTGTGATAGTCAGTGTGCTGCTCCCCAGGCACATAAATCATCTGACTCAAATAAATGAAAATCTGGACATTATGATTCCTTAGTGAGCACGATGTGAGGTATCCTCCCTCCAGCTGCTGTCAATGACACCACCAGGCTCAGCTCTGCCTCCCGCTGTGCCTCCACACCCTGCGTGAGACCCAATTTCTCACTTAAGACTAAAACAGTGCTTCTGTCTAGATCTGTGTTTTTCTACCATTTCTGTTTCGTTTCCACATACATAGAATTCATTTTTTCTTGAGTTAGACATATTTTATTTTCCTGAAAGCAAATAATAATTCAAATGAAGTGGCCTCTTTCTCCACTTTCTTCTTTGTTTACTCCTTCTTCCTTCCCTCATGCCACTCCTCCCTCCCACTTCCTCTGCTACCCCAGCACATCATGAAATACTGTACATGTTGATATATTGTATTTGATTATGTTAGGAGAGCAAAGGAGTATAACATATTGTTCCATTCCCTGGGAAGCTTACCTAGCTAAATAATATTATAAAATTTAAGTGCTGTGATCCTCAGAGAGATGAGAGGGAGAGATCAGTAAGGCCTACTTTAGCAAGGAGAGGCTTCATTTAATAAATATTTAATGATGATTTACTGTGTGTAATTTATTTGCGTGTTGACTGCCCCGCCTCCAAGCCCCTCACCCTTCTGCTACTGTAAGCTCTTCGTGTGCAAGTATTGTGTTTGTTTTGTTCAAAATTGTATACTGTCTACCTGTGATACTCAAGGTGGGCATTGGAAAGTATTGTTGAGTGAATGCTTAAAAGAATGGCAATTGGAGGATTCTCGGTTGTGCTTCTTTCTTTCAAGGAGATGGTACTTCAGCAGGGAAGCATCACATGAAGAATGTGATGGATTTGCTTTCAGGGAGGGAAAGGATGCACTCAGTTGGGGTCCCTCATTGCTGGTTCCTATTTTTATCTAGTTTAAGAAAGGACGAATTCACCCAGCATTGAAATCAAGTAGAAGGTAATTTACTACTTAGTCATTTATGTGATTTCATCCCAGCAGCCAGCTGTTTCCTGGATCATATTTTATTACAATTTTTATTTATAGTATGTCTTTGCAAGAAAAACATCCGGTGCAGCAGAGCTTAGTAGTTAGTATGTAATAATGTGTATTTGAAAGCTACATAGAAGACGCTTTTTGCAAGTTTCCCTACAACAGTGAGAGTATCAAATCCCCTTCTCCCATTTTTAAAGCTGTGAAGGATTTCCCCTGAGATTTATGGCTTTGGTACAATGGAAAGTGGATTAGACTTGAGGTTAGCAATCATGTGTCTGAATCTTCACCCTATCACTTAGCAGTGTGGACTTGGTAAATTGATTAACCTGGGTATGGCTCAGTTAAAACTTGCCTCACAAGTGAGAAGATGTGAGAGTTAAAGGGAAAAAAGATGTCAAGTGTCTGTACTAAGAACACGTATTTCTCTTTTTCCATCTCTCCAGTATAAAAAATGTTTGTTCTGGAAGTCTATTATTACAGCTTAGGAAGTAATTTAAATTATTCTTTCTGTGTTAATTCTGAATTTTAGCTTCATTTTAGGCACTTCATAGGAATGCCAGTATCACATACCTAGTCCATTTTATTTTGTGATTTCCCCCAAAACACCAAAATGCAATGCCAGCTCTTGACATATTGTTCTATCTTTCGACAGGAATTCGAATTCTTTTGGATTATAAATGCATGGATTGCCCAGAACATTTTCATGGTACATAATGGGAATGAATTATTCTTCAAACTTATTTTAGTCCAAAAAGGAACAAATGTTACAAAAGAATCAGGATAATAACTACATCTTTTGGAATCCTTCCTTATAACATTTATTTTGAATCCTTTCAGAGAAGCTCATGGAAATGCGCAGTCATGTCTGTAGATGGCATCCTTGTACCGGATGAAATAAAATGATAATTAAGTATGCGAGATCTTTCCCATAACAGTCAGCCCGTTTAGTGTAAAGTGTATACTTAAGAATCCATGATACCAGTTTTTGGAATTGGGAAATAATGCGTGGGAAGTTGATATGTATTTTTTGGGGAAAAAAAGTAGGAGACCAAATACAAACTGATGGGTTCTATAATAATTGTGTTTTCTTCTTAAAGTGTCTTAGAGGAGAAAAGTTGAAAAAGGGTCAAGATGAAAAGGCTTCACTTTTATTTTCTGGAAGCATTTAATCAAACCAATAGGACTGTGGACTGGTTAATGTCATCCCTAAGCCACCCCAAAATAAAATTCTGCAATCTCCCCATTCTTTCAACATATCTTATGTGATAAAGAACTTTTCGTACATATTTTTCATTTCTTTGTGATTAGCTTTTTCCTGGTTTATGTAAACTGTTCATGTATTTTTTCTTTCCTTTTTTTCTTAAAAACAACTATAATTGGATTTTTGTGTTTCTAATGCTGGCCAGGGTACTAATATTTTATTGTCGTATATGTTTTTGTAGTTCATGAAACAGTAAGGAAAATTTCACCTAAAAGGGTATTTTAATAGTCTGATTACTGGAATAAATTGTTGGGATAAATTGTGCACTCTTTTCCTGGAAACTGGCATCTGGGGAACAGCATTACCTACCACATATGATATATGACATGTATAAGTTGTTTATTCTAAGTTGCAGTTGGTACGAAAATATTTGAAAAGAAGCACCATATTTTTTCCTCCTAAGAACTCTAATTCCATTGTTTGTTTTTGTTTACCAGAATGTCTGGCAGCTTGTATATCACAACTGCTAGGCTATATCCACTTTCACCAAATCAGACTGGGACAAATATTTCATCAGCATTCACTGATAGCAAATAACACCCAACTTTTTATCTCATTTATTATGAACAATGATAATAATTGTTATATATAACTGACATTATTAAAAAGACCCTATATTACATAAATGTGATCATAGCTACAATTATGTAAATGTTCTAGCTCTAAGGTTATTTAAATTTAGCTTTGTGTAGAGAAATCATGTTTATTTGCACAGTTTTAGTATTCAATGGAGAAAAATATGATATAGAAAAATAATAAAATGCTGGGTCTCATTAGACTGATGGAGATAACCATGGTAAGATTGAGCATTGATTAAAAGACATTCTAGCACCAGCAAGTACTAGCAAGTTCTGTGCTAGGCCCTCCAGAAACAAAACCGGGGAAGATGTAGTCCCAGCCCTTGAGGGTCAATAACTCAGTGCAGGGGAAAGTAACATGCAAAACCGTAACAAGACAAAGCCAGCATTATAAGATATATAAATACAAGATGTTTTAGAGACAAAGAGGACACAACTAAGTTTACTTGAATGAGTTGAGTCCGTCCTCATGTGTTGGAGCTAACTCTTGAAGACAGCCACTGGACTTTTTTAATTTACATTTTTTTCAGTGGTTAAATATGACACACAGTGTAAAACATATATGTGGCATTTAATGGATGCATATAAAGTGAACATCATGTAAACAACATCAAGTTAGAAGACAGCGTAATGAAACATCCCCACCTAGAAACATGGGCGTATTGCCAGACTGCAAACTCCTGTTTGCTGTCAGATGTAAGCAATATCCTGACTTAACTGAGAATTATTTCTTTTTATTAAAAAAAATATGCGCTTTTTTTTTTTTTTTTTTTTTTTTTTGAGATGGAGTCTCACACTCTCGCCTGGGCTGGAATGCAGTGGCGTGATATCAGCTCACTGCAACCTCCACCTCCCAGGTTCAAGTGATTCTCCTGCCTCAGCCTCCTGAGTAGCTGGGATTACAGGTGCCTGCCATCACGCCCAGCTAATTTTTTGTATGTTTAGTACAGACCGGGTTTCACCATGTTGACCAGGCTGGTCTCAAACTCCTGACCTCGTGATTCGTCTGCCTCAGCCTCCCAAAGTGCTGGGATTACAGGTGTGAGCCACCACACCCGGCCATATGCTTTCTTAAATAGCAGAGTTTTGCATAGTTTTGAACAGCTATCATACTATATAGATTATTTTGTTTCTGGCATCTACTGCTCAATATTTTGTTTGTAAAATCCATCTATATTATTGCGTACAGCTGTGGTTTATTCATTTTAATTGCTGAATATTTTATGAATATAACAATTTATTGAGCTATTCTATTGCTGATGGATATTTGAGTGTTTTCACATTGGGGCTATTCAGAATAACATTACTTAGAGCTGCCTGTATATAATTGTTGCACGTGCCTATGTTTCTCTGCAATGCATACTGAGGAGAGAAATTGCTGGATTATAAGTTTTGCATGCTCTCAGATTTACTAGATAATGTCACACTGCCTTTTGATATGGTTGTATCAATTTATACTCTCATGATATGAGATGACATCTCCACATCCTCCGCAACACATAGTATTGTCAGACTGTAAATTTTTTAACAACTCAGTGAGTTTGAAGTTATATTTTTCTTAATTTGTATTTCCCTTATTTCTAATATTTACGGACTATTTGCCTTCCCTCTTTACAAAGCATTTTCTTGAATATTTTGCCCATTTTTCATTTATGTAGTCCTGTCTTTATCTTAATATTGGTAAGAATTTGTCATTGTCATTGTTGGTGGTGGTGGTGGTATTTTTGTTTTTATAGTCCCTATTTAGTTATTTTTTAAAAAAATATATTCTCTTACATTATGGTTTGCATTTGTACCATTTTCGTGGTGTCTGTGATGCACTAATTGTCAATATTTATATAATGGAATTTATTAATCATTTACTTTATTATTTGTGTTTTTTGGGAGGCTTTAAAATTTAGTCTTTACCCTAGGAAATAAAAATATGTTGTTAATAATTTTCTCATAGCCTTATAGGCATGTTTTTCAACAAAGATACCTAGAAATGAATTTTATACACAGGGCCATGCAAGTCCCATTTAGTTTATTTTCTATTTAAATTGATTTCCACTCGGCCCTCATTTTCTGCAAAGCCTCCCCCCACCACCATCCCACTACTCTGCAGTGCGAAGTATCTAATTTGTCAAGCGTCCATAAATAAATTGGTCTATCTTTGAGCGTATTATTCTGTTCCTTTTGTGTATGGGCTTGTCATTGTGCTACTACCATAGTTTGCTAATCAGTAGAAACTTATTATAAGTCTGCATGTTTAGTTGAGCTTTATTCTTCAAGAATATACTTCCAGGGCCGGGCGCGGTGGCTCACGCCTGTAATCCCAGCACTTTGGGAGGCCGAGGCGGGAGGATCACGAGGTCAGGAGATCGAGACCATCCTGGCTAACACAGTGAAATGCCATCTCTACTAAAAATACAAAAAATTAGCCGGGCGTGGTGGTGGGCGCCTGTAGTCACAGCTACTCGGGAGGCTGAGGCAGGAGAATGGCATGAACCCGGGAAGCGGAGCTTGCAGTGAGCTGAGATCGTGCCACTGCACTCCAGCCTGGGTGACAGAGCGAGACTCCGTCTCAAAAAAAAAATAAACAAATAAAATAAAAAAAAAAAAGAATGTACTTCCAGATAAATTTTTAAATTATGTTGTCAAATTATATGAAATGTGTTATGGTTTTGGGTGGGATAACATTCTATTCATATTGTAATGTTTCAACTTTTAAGCAATGAACATAGTATGCAGCTTCATTAGTTAACTGCCTTTAATGCTTCTCAATAATATTTTATATTTCTTGGAGATATCTCACACATCTATTTACAGTTATTCCCAGAATATCTAAATTGATATTCACTGTTACTATTGTAATTATTGAAACTTTGTTTTCTTGCTGTTGTTTATAAATAGGAATGCAATTTAATACATATGTCAAGTTTATATCCAGCAACCTTGTTAAACATCGTAATCTGTCCTAGACGTTTACTTTACATTCCTTGGCATATTATTGTATTGTCTAGGAAAAAGGCTCTTCCCCACTTTTTTCAATCCTTATACATTTATTTTCTTGTTCCGTTGTTTTGTTTAAAACTTCCTACAATGTTGAATAAAAGTGGAGATATTTCTTCTGATAATGATTCTAAATCAAAGTAATAATTTTAGTTATTCATCAATAAGTGTGAAGTTTTCTGTAGGTTTGATATATGTTATGTCAGATAAAGAGGGTTTCCCTCTATTTTTAGTTTGCTAAGAATTTTTTAATGAATGGATATTGAATTTTATCATATGGATTTTCTCAATCTATTGGAAGACGTAATGTGATTTCTTCTAATCTATTCATATGATTATTATATTAATGGATGCTAACTAATCATCAAAACTCCAAATCCTACTTAGACATTACATGTGATCCTTTTTATATATTGATAAAATCAATTTATTAATATTTTTATAGGATTTCTGTATCTGTAACTATGAATAGAATCTGGCTTGAGGTTTTTAAATGTGCAAAAAAATTTGAACTAAACAATCAAGGTTTAATGTGTCATACACATGCAAAATAGAACGTATTTTTAATTGTAAAATTAATTATCCTTAAAGGAAAGCCTTTATCTTATACTGCTTTTGTGCTTTTGGATTATTTGGAAAAAATTAATTCATTGTCAGAGCTCTGACTACACCGTAGAGTTCAAGTGCAACAGAATTGGTAGAACATAGAGTGGGATTTCCTAGATGTCCTTCTCAAACCACAAGTGAAGAGCAAGCATGTAGTATACAGACATCCCCAAAGTAGAAGTTATTCATGTTACAGTCAACTATAAGCCATCAATCATCAACTTGAGCTCCTTGAGAGCACTTGAGTCCCTGATTCGTTTGTCAGAAAAAGACAGACAGACAGACAATGAAACCTGGATGTTGATTAATTTCCATGGACACTCTTTGCTCTTTGGAAGAGTGGCAGGATGGACTTTCATTTGCTGCACTTTTGTCTGAAGCTATACATATAGAAAAGAGACGCAAGATCAGGATGAGATAAGAAATAACGCATTAACCTTCACACTTGAACATACTTTGTGAACATCGTCAGTAAGCAAGTTAAATAAATATTTAGAATTTCAAGATAATATTAACATTCTTTGTGAAAGCTTTTTATTTTACTAGGCAAGAGAACTTGTGCAGGGGAACTGCCCTTTATAAAAACCATCAGATCTTGTGAGACCTATTCACTATCATGAAAACAGCACAGGAAAAACTACCCCTGTGCTGTTCTCATGATAGTGCATAAGGTTCCTCCCATGACACGTGGGGATTATGGGAGCTATAATTCAAGATCAGATTTGGATCATAGGGTCAAGCCATATCACATAAGAAAAGGAAAAGTTTGCTGTTGAAGGAGGATGAATATGATAATCACAGGTACTTCAAAACTAGTATGTTCCTGCACTCTATCAATATCACATGAGTTGGACTCTAAGTCTAGGTAGCTCTCTCTTCCTCTTTATAAAGTTTTGAAAACTTCATGTTAGACACATGTATTAAATTAATATTATTCTCCTGTGCCTGTGAATTTTGCTTAGTTTCATTAGTGATTATAAGCATCTCATAATCATTTATTTATACCCAAATAAAGTGTCTTAAATGTTTGGGTTCTGACATCTACTAAACCAATGTAGAGACCAAGTCAGTATCACTATAGTATGATGGAATATACTGAGAAGGAAAAGGTTGAACCAATAAAGTATGTATTAATAGTAAAGGTAATAGCATTTAACATGTTTTAAATCGCAGAACTATGAAAAAGTAGGAGTTCAGATAATGTATTCTATTGCTTAGTTTTGGCAGTATATGTTGTTGAAAGCTTTATGTGTTATGCCACTACCCCCAAACTGCCAATATCTGGAAAAGATTTATAATATAGAGATTCCATAGATTTAGATGTTCATTCACCACAGTCTGTGCCTGAATACAAAAATATTTTTAACAAAATGTCTTTTTTTGTTTGTTTGATGCTCCACAGATGTGAAATATGGATCAACAGACTCCTCATGACCAATCATAAATTAGAGTAAAATTACCAAAGAGTATGTGAAAGTAAATTAATGCTCCCACTTCAACTTAAAGAATTATTAAGTAATGTCTTAGCTTCACCTTAGATGTTTGAAGCAGAGCTGCGAAAAGAACTAGTTTCTTCTCAGTCTTGATCCAGGATTTACCTTCTTCACATCTCTTTTACTTTCTTGAACTTGAAATGGATATTTCATCTTTATTCTTAGTCTTTTATTAATCTCTTAAAAATTATGACCCAAACTAACATAAACTGCACAAAACCAATTTTTGCTATAAAACAGTGAGTGCTTTTGAGTAAGATCCAATGTCATAATCACTCTTTGTCTATTATAATATATGTAACTGTATCTCCACCCCTTATTTGATTGCTATTTCATTTTTGCTTCATTAGTTCTTTCAATATGTCTATAACTAATGTTTATAATCTTATGTGTAATACCTGACATTTATAATTCTGTTTCTAAGATCATTTTCCTAATGGCTGAACCACTTTGAAATATCAATATGGTTGGTGTTGTGCATTTGGCAAAGTTATCTAATCGAGACCATTCTTCAGGACTGCTTGAAATCATGGGCCAGTACAGAATGCATTAGCTAAGTAAAACAGTAAGTGGTCACATGTGATTTAATAAAACAAATGCAATTTAAAAAGTCTTCAGGGAAAGAATAAGACTGTATAAATCTATTTCATTTCTCTCAATGCATAAGACAGTATACTATGTGGTTATGTGCTATTTGAAAGGTTTTTGAGCATCATAAAACTAAATTTTGAAATCAATTCAACAAAAATGACATAAATGGATAAAGAGAAAGACAGAAAGATGAGATTATAATTGGACTATGATGGCATGAAATTTTGAAGGAAGAAAATTAGGGCACTAAATTAAGGAGGGTAGAAGGAGAGAGACTGAGGAAAGAAAGTCTAGGAAGCATTTAAACCCCAGACAGTGTTTTAATAAGAAAAGTTTTAAATGGCTCAGTATTCATTGTAGATTCATGGCAATCCAGTTTTGCAACATGGCAAAGTGAAATGTGAAAGGCAGATTAAAGTTCCAGTACTGGCTGAGATAATTAATGGTTTATGATTTTGGATAAGTTACTTTAAGTTTTTCAGCTTTAGTCTCTTCATCTGTAAATAAATAGGAGTTATTTACTTTAAAAAATGTGTGAAAGTAAAATAGAATCACATATTCAAAAATGCCTATCTCAGTATTTGGTTCATGGCATACCTCCAATAAATGTTTCTTTGTCCCCTTCCCACTTAATATTATTGAGATTGTTTATCTAGATGTGATGGATCACATCTGGCATAAGTATATCATGGGAGAATTTCTTTTCCAAGAAGATTAAATCCTTAGTATATTTGAATGAAACTTTATTAAATAGTTATTATAAAATCTAATCTCTATTGAACACTTTCTATGTACATTAGATATTCTGCATGAAATATTACATTTAATTCTGACTGCAATTTTATGTTATTTCTATCATTCTGTTTTGTAGATTTGGTCATTCATATAAAGAATAAATGGTTATGCAGAAATGAAAACTAAGTTTGTCTTATTCTAAAGCCTGTGATCTCAACCATGAAATTATACTGTTTAATTGATATTCATCAATGATGCTAACATTTAGAGATTTAACATATATTTGTTTTCCAGAGAGAGAGAGAGAGGATCGGGTGGGGGAGGGAGAGAGAGAGAGCTAGAGAGAGAAAGAGAGAGACAGAGTGGAAGAGAAAATAGAGAATATCAAAAGAGTATGACATGGCTATAATTGATTTTTATTCTGTACCTAACTTTTTGAACTTGCCCAAGCAGCAGTATCTCTCAGTCTTACTTTTTGTAATGTAAAACTGGATAAATATGCTTATCTCCAATGTTATCTTCAGGATTAAATGAAATTATACGTTTGTGTGTTGTGTCTAAGCACATGTTTATGTGTAGTGTATAGCATTGCCCTATTCTTGGCAGAGTAATAAAATGAGCTGTCCGTTTTTATAGATTGAAAATATTTGAATCATAATGCCTTATAATGGTTGAAATAAAAAGTGAACCACTTCATTCCAATTCCAGCAATAGCAACAGAGTTGGAGCTGAAAATTATAAACCCTGGGGAAAATATAGAACAGCTATGTGAAATCACAGAAAAATGGCCAAAAGAAAGTAGAAACTGGAAGGGATTTGATCCCTGAAGAAAAGAACTATACTGGGTGAGATTTGTGTTCATGTGGCTTTTTGTCAGAGGATGCTCCGGACTCACGTGATACCAGTTGGCTGGAACTGAAGCCAAAAGCCACAGACTTACTGGCTTGAGGAGTCAGATGATGAGGTTTGAGTCTACAAGACAGTCATGAAAATGAAAGAGGAATTTAATAAAGGAGGGAACAACAAAGGGAAGAAGCCTCAACTCTGCATATCTGAACTGTTCCCAAATCTTTGGCTTACTCCTCAACAGTACTTACATGAGGGAAGCTCCAAACATTCTGAAACAACATAACAACTGGCAGGCTAAAAGAACCCAGTAGTAAGTCTAGCTGCTGTCCACCACCAGTGAGACAGATCGTGAAGTTAGTCTGGACAAGTTAACTAAAAATAACATTCTTCAGAGGAAGATAACAGAGTCCAGAGTTTAATACATGTCCACAAACTTCAGTTGAAAATAATAAAAAATATGCATGCAAGGAAATATGAGAAACAGGACCAAAAGTAAAATTAAAAGGCAGTTAATATTAAATAAATGATGAGATGTCTACATGTTGCATTTAGCAGATAAAGACTTTAAAGCAGTCATATTAAATACGTTCAAGCACTTAAAGGTAAATATGTTTTCATTGGAAGAACAGATGTGGAATATCAGCATCTGTCTCTATCTACCTAATATATATTGGTCTATCATCTATCAAGAGTACCAAATGGAAATTTGAAGTACAGTTTCTATTGAAAGTATATTGCTTTTATACCATCATAAAATCATAAGTTGAGAAATCATAAGTCAGGGAGCATATTAAGAGGTCAATTCTCCCCTAAATTAATGTATATTTTCAGTAAAATACCAAAGTCTCAAGAGGCTGTTTTATATTAAATTACAAAATATTTAAAAATCTATATGGACATATGGAAGACAGAATAAGCAAAACAGTCTTGAAAATGATGTCTATAATTGAAGTATTTACACTATTTGACATCAAAGTTTAAATTAAAGTCAGAGTATTCAGTAGTGTATGGAACTGACACGAGAATTGACAAATAGATCACTAAAGCAAAAGAGTAAGTTCAATTAACTTTTAGCAAAGTTGCCAAAGCAATTCAATTGGTAAAGGAAAGCATTGTTAATAAATGATTTAAAAACACTGTTCAATTGAATGAGTGTTTGTGTGTGTATGTATGTGCATGTCACACCATACAAATCAATTCATGATGGATCATAGACTTAAACATAAATACAAAATTTAAGAGTGGAAAGATGGTTACCAGAGGCAGGAAAGGGGAGTGGGGAGGGGGAAATAAAGAGGAGTTGTTGAATGGGTAGAAAAAACGTAGTTAGACAAAGTAAGATCTAGTGTTTGGTAGCATAATAGGGTGAATTTAAGTAACAATAAGTCTATATTTAAAAATAAAATAGTGGAATTGGAATGTTTCTAACACAAATAAATGATAAATGCTTGTGGTGGAAGATATCCCAATTACCCTGATGTGATCATTACATATTGTGTGTTTATATCAACATATCAGGTGTATTCCATGAATATGTACAACTATTATGTATCAATAGAAATTATTTAAAAATGTATAAAACCTATAAAGCTTTTAAAAGAATACAAAAATATATCTTCTTGACTTATAGCACAATAAAGAATAACCAAAGCATTAAAAATACCATGTAAACTGCATCCAAATGATAAGTATCCTCATGAAAAGACACTTATAATATGCACACAGGCACGAATTGGAATAAATATGCATAAAATCTATATTGGGTAAAGGCTGGCCTAGAATATATAAAGAGCTCCTACAATTTAATTATTAAAAGACAAATGAATAGAAGAACAAAGGACATGAACAGACACTTAGATCATAAAGGAAGATATATGAAATGGCAATTAGCACATACAGATTGCTCAGTTATTAGTCATCATGGAAATGTAAATCAAGACCCTAGCTCAGTTATTAGTTATCATAGAAATGTAAATCAAGACTGCAATGAAATATCAGACTACACAAATTAAATCTGCTGAAATTAAAGACTTAAACTGTTTCTTGCTGAGCGTATAGAATAACTCCTATACTGATTGAAGTTTAGAATGATATAATCACTTTGGAATGTGTTTTTTGACACTTTCTTATAGTTATACACACCACTTACTCCTTAACTTGGCAATATGTCACTGGATATTTACCCAAGAGAAATTAAAATATATCCATATAAAGACTTGTTTATACGTACTCACAGCATCATTATTCAAAATAACCCAACATTGTAAAATGGAAATATCCATCAACAGCAGAAAAGATAACCAAACTTGTGTATTTACACAATGAATTCTGAATATAATAAAAAGGAACAAACTAGTGATAGATGCAACAACATGGCTGAATAGCAAAAGCATTATGCTGAGTAAAATAAGCCAACATACGATTTCATTTACATGAAGTACTTAATATTGAAATCTAATGATGCACAAATCAGAACATTGGTGCTTTGTGTAGAGTGGAAAGATAACTTTCTCAGATTACTTTAATGTTTCTTATCTTTATAGATTATGGGAGTGTGCATTTTCAAAAACTCATTGAATGGTACATTTAATATTTGTGCATTTCACCCTATGTCACTACTCACACTCACCCCTCATACACACACAATAACTGTATGTGAATGTCCTTCCAATATAGATAGGTAGATAGGTAGGTAGGTAGGTAGGTAGGTAGGTAGGTAGGTAGGAAGGAAGATAGATAGAGACACACAGATACACACACACAAATACTTCCTTGTTCTACTCGTTAAGAGTACCTCACAGCAATGTCACGTTGATTGCAATGATCATGACTATCTCGCAGATCCTGGTTTTCAAATATCATTCTCCAATAAAAATAATGAGGACTCCTTGGATAAATGGATGGTTCCAGGGCCTGGGTAGGGAAACTACAACATCTGCCTAGAATATTTTTTTCCAGAAAGTAAATGCTTTCTCAAAGAATGTTAGATACAGGTGGAAAGCACCCAGGGGCCAAACTGAAGAAGCTCCAAATGTACACACCTGGCACAATTTGAGTATCAGAAATTAGTAAATACAGTAGAAGATCATAATGTGCTTAATAAAGTAGGAATCTATGAACCTAAACTGATATAAGGAAATGAATCAATGAGAGAAAAGGGAAGCTCTTCCTTGCAATAAACAAAAAAATGTACAAAAAAGAAGAGGTTGGAAAGTCACTAAATTGTAGGTATAATAATAATAATTGCTTCAGCCAAAAATGATGAATATGTGCTACCACTAATGGGTAATATTTTGATGAGGGGCATCATAATGACATAATGTCAAAGTGTTACCCACTAATTATTTATTAATTACCAAAAGAGAAAGCATGAATTTTACAGTGGATAAATGTTGTGTTCAGCACTTTAATCAAATTATTAAAGTTATTATCAATATTGGGTTAAAATGACACCATGTGCCTCCTGACATGATGTACTAAGAAGGCTACACATGACCTCTATGGCATTCTTGCCAAAAGGACATAAACTCCTCTAATTATGAGAAAACAATGGGATACTCAATATGAAGGAGAGTCCAAAAAGAAATGGCCTTTCCTCTTTGAAAATTTTAAGGGGAAGAATGACAAATAAAAGCAGAAAAAAGACACAATTCATATTAGAGACTAAAGCAATATGACAGTATGGCAACTAAATGCAGGAACATGGACCGGATTCAAGACTGGATCCTGTACTGGGAAAAACTATGGAGGACATAATGAGGACATAATGAGAATGATTTATGTTAGTATTAAATTTTTTGATTTTGGTTTTGATAATTATTGTGTGATTGAATATGAAAATTTCCTTGTTCTTAGGAAACAATGTATACACTAGAGTGTATATGGGTGAGAAAGAATGAGTAAATAGAGCAAAATGTAAATAATTAGTTTATCTTGGTGTATTAGTCAGGGTTCTCTTAGAGGTATCGGGGAACCTGCCCTGATAGTCATGTAGGTTCTTTTCTATTTTCCCTAGGCATCAGCCAGCTTGAGAAATAAAGGGACAGAGTACAAAAGAGAGAAATTTTAAAGCTGGGCATCCGGGGGAGACATCACATGTCGGTAGGTTCCGTGATGCCCCACAAGCCATAAAACCAGCAAGTTTTTATTAGGGACTTTCAAAAGGGGAGGGAGTGTACGAATAGGGTGTGGGTCACAGACAGCAAGTACTTCACAAGGTCATAGAATATCACAAGGCAAATGGAGGCAGTGTGAGATCACAGGACCACAGGACTGGGATGAAATTAAAATTGCTAATGAAGTTTCAGGCACCATTGTCATTGATAACATCTTATCAGGAGACAGGGTTTTGAGAGCAACCGGTCTGACCAAAATTTATTAGGTGGGAATTTCTTCTTCCTAAGAAGCCTGGGAGTGCTATGGGAGATGGGGGTCTATTTCACCCCTACAGTCTACAGACCATAAAAGACAGCCACGCCCAGGGGGGCCGTGTATAGACCTACCCCCAGGCACGTATTCTCTTTCCCAGGGATGTTTCTTGCTGAGAAAAAGAATTCAGCGATATTTCTCCCATTTGCTTTTGAAAGAAGAGAAATATGGCTCTGTTCTGCCCAGCTCACCGGCAGTCAGAGTTTAAGGTTATCTCTTGTTTCCCAAACATTGCTGTTATCCTGTTCTTTTTTCAAGGTGCCCAGATTTCATATTGCTCAAACACACATGCTCTACAATTTGTGCAGTTAAGACAATTATCACAGGGTCGTGAGGCAACATACATCCTCCTCAGCTGACAGGATTAGGAGATTAAAGTAAAGACAGGCCTAGGAAATCACAAGGGTATTGATTGGGGAAGTGATAAGTGTCCATGAAATCTTTACAGTTTTATGTTCAGAGATTGCAGTAAAGACAGGCATAGGAAATTATAAAAGTATTAATTTGGGGAACTAATAAATGTCCATGAAATCTTCACAATCCATGTTCTTCTGCCATGGCTTCAGCCGGTCCCTCCGTTTGGGGTCCCTGACTTCCCACAACATAGAGGGACAGAACTAATAGGATATATATATATGTGTATATATGTATATAAATATACACATATATATATCCTATTATATATAAAATATATATATACTATTATATATATAATATATATCCTATTATATATAATATATATCCTATTATATATAATATATATATCCTATTATATATAATATATATCCTATTATATATAATATATATATCCTATTATATATAATATATATCCTATTATATATTATATATCCTATTATATATGATATATATCCTATTATATATTATATATCCTATTATATATATAATATATATATCCTATTATATATATAACATATATATCCTATTATATATATTATATATATCCTATTTATATATATCCTATTATTATATATAATAATATATATCCTATTATATATAATATGAATGTATATATATGAGTTTATTAAGTATTAACTTACACAATCATAAAGTCCCACAATACACTGCCTGCAAGCTGAGGAGCAAGGAGAGCCAGTCCGAGTGAGTCCCAAAACTTGGAGTCTGATGTTGGAGGGCAGGAAGCATCCAGCATGAGAGAAAGATGCAGGCTGGGAGGCTAGGACAATCTCTCATTTTTACATTTTTCTGTCTGCTTTATATTCCCTTGAAGCTGATTAGATTGTGCCCACCAGATTAAGGGTGGATCTGCCTTCCCCAGCCCACTGATTCAAATGTTAATCTCTTTTGGCAACACTCACACAGAAACACCCAGGATTAATACTTTGTATCCCTCAATCCAATAAAGTTGACACTCAGTATTAACCATCACACTTGGCAAAAGTTATATTAGTGTCTACAGTCTGTATAATTTTTGCAAATTTTCTATAAATTTGAAATTATATTGAAATACATAGGTAAAAATGCACACCTAACTTTTTCCATTGCTAATTATATAGTGTTGGTTCTGGAGAATGATGACTAATATATCATTAATCCTAAAACTTTGAAAAAAAAAGGCAGCTTACCTTCTTAGAAAACTAAAAATATATTAATTAAAGAAAATTAGCAGGTTTTTCAGTTTCCATGTAGTTGTGCAGTTTTGAGTGAGTTTCTTAATCCTGAGTTCTAATTTGATTGCACTGTGGTCTGAGAGAATGTTTGTTATGATTTCCATTCTTTTGCATTTGCTGAGGAGTGCTTTACTTCCAATGATGTGGTCAATCTTAGAATAAGGGGGATGAGGTGCTGAGAATTATGCATATTCTATCGATTTGGAGTGGAGAGTTCTGTAGATGCCTATTAGGTCTGCTTGGTCCAGAGCTGGGTTCAAGTCCTGAATATCCTTGTTAACCTTCTGTCTCATTGATCTGTCTAATAGTGACAGTGGAGTGTTCAAGTCTCCCACTATTATTGTGTGGGAGTTTAAATCTCTTTGTAGGTCTCTAAGAACTTGCTTTTTGAATCTGGGTGCTCCTGTATTGGGTGCATATATATTTAGGATAGTTAGCTCTTCTTGTTGCATTGATCCCTTTACCAATGCAACTTCAATGTAATGCTCTTCTTTGTCTCTTTTAATCTTTGTTGGTTTAAAGTCTTATCAGAGGCTAGGATTGCAACCATGCTTTTTTCTCTTTTTTTTTTTTTTTTTTGCTTTCCATTTACTTGGTAAATATTCCTCCGTCCCTTTATTTTGAGCCTATGTGTGTTTTTGCATGTGAGATGGGCCTCCTGAATAGAGTACACTGATGGGTCTTGACTATCCAATTTGCCAGTCTGTGTCTTTTAATTGGGGCATTTAGCCCATTTACATTTAAGATTAATATTGTTATGTGTGAATTTGATCCTGTCATTATGATGCTAGCTGGTTATTTTGCCCATTAGTTGATGCAGTTTCTATCATAGTGTCGATGGTCTTTACAATTTGATATGTTTTTGCAGTGGCAGATACTGGTTGTTCCTCTCCTGAACGACTACTGGGTAAATAATGAAACTAAGGCATAAATAAAGATGTTCTTTGAAACCAATGAGAACAAAGACACAACGTACCAGAATCTCTGGGACACATTTGGAGCAGTGTTTAGAGGGAAATTTATAGCACTAAATGCCCACAAGAGAAAGCAGGAAAGATCTAAAATTGACACCCTAACATCACAATTAAAAGAACTAGAGAAGCAAGAGCAAACACATTCAAAAGCTAGCAGGAGGCAAGAAATAAATAAGATCAGAGCAGAACTGAAGGAGATAGAGACACGAAAAACCCTTCAAAAAAATCAATGAATCCAGGACCTGGTTTTTTGAAAAGATCAACAAAATAGATAGACCACCAGCCAGACTAATAAAGAAGAAAAGAGAGAAGAATCAAATAGATGCAATAAAAAATGATAAAGGGGATATCACTACTGATCCCACAGAAATACAAACTACCATCAGCGAATACTATAAACACCTCTACACAAATAAACTAGAAAATCTAGAAGAAATGGATAAATTCCTGGACACATACACCCTCCCAAGACTAAACCAGGAAGAAGTCAAATCCCTGAATAGACCAATAACAAGTTCTGAAATTAAGGCAGCAATTAATAGCCTACCAACCAAAAAAACCTCAAGACTGGATAGATTCACAGCCGAATTCTACCAGAGGTACAAAGAAGAGCTGGTACCATTATTTCTGAAACTATTGCAAACAATAGAAAGAGGGAATCCTCCCTAAGTCATTTTATGAGGCCAGCATCATCCTGATAACAAAACCTGGCAAAGGCACAACAACAACAACAAAAGAAAATTTCAGGGCCACTATCCCTGATGAACATCAATGCAAAAATCCTCAATAAAATACTGGCAAACCAAATCCAGCAGCACATCAAAAAGCTCATCCACCACGATCAAGTCGCCTTGATCCCTGGGATGGTTCAACATATGCAAATCGATAAATGTAATCCATCACATAAACAGAACCAATGACAAAAACCACATGATTATCTCAATAGATGCAGAAAAAGTCTTCGACAAAATTCAATACCCCTTCATGCTAAAAACTCTCTCAATAAACTAGGTATTGATGGAACGTATCCCAAAATAATAATAGCTATTTATGACAAAACCACAGCCAATATCATACTGAATGGGCAAAAACGGGAAGCATTCCCTTTGAAAACCAGCACAAGATAAGGATGTCCTCTCTCACCACTCCTATTCAACATTGTATTGGAAGTTCTGGCCAGGGCAATCAAGCAAGAGAAAGAAATAAAGTGTATTCAAATAGGAAAAGAGAAAGTCAGATTGTCTCTGTTTGCAGATGTCATGAGTGTATATTTAAAAAACCCCATCATCTCAGCCCAAAATCTCCTTAAGCTGATAAGCAACTTCAGCAAAGTCTCAGGATACAAAATCAATGTGCAAAATTCAGAAGCATTCCTATACACCAAATAACAAACACACAGAGAGCCAAATCATGAGTGAACTCCCATTCACAATTGCTACAAAGAGAATAAAATACCTAGGAATTCAACTTACAAGGGATGTGAAGGAACTCTTCAAGGAGAATTACAAACCACTGCTCAAGGCAATAAGAGAGGACACAAATAAATGGAAATATATTCCATGCTCATGGATAGAAAGAATTTATATCGTGAAAAGGGCCATACTGTCCAAAGTAATTTATAGATTCAATGCTATCCCCATCAAGCTACCATTGACTTTCTTCACAGAATTGGAAAAAACTACTTTAAATTTCATATGGAACCAAAAAAGAGCCCACACAGCCAAGGCAATCCTAATAAAAAAGAACAAAGCTGGAGGCATCACACTACCTGACTTCAAACTATACTACAAAGCTACAGTAACCAAAGCAGCATGGTACTGGTACTAAAACAGATATATAGACCAATGGAACAGAACAGAGTCCTCAGAAATAACACCACACATCTACAACCATCTGATCTTTGACAAAACTAACAAAAACAAGCAATGGAAAAAGGATTCCCTATTTAATAAATGGTGTTAGGAAAACTGGCTAGCCATATGCAGAAAACTGAAACTGGATCCCTTCCTTACACCTTATACAAAAATTAACTCAAGATGGATTAAAGACTTAAACCAAGGACCTAAAACCATAAAAACCTTAGAAGAAAACGTAGGCAATACTATTCAGGAAATAGGTATGGGCAAGGACTTCATAACTAAAACACCAAAAGCAATGGCAACAAAAGCCAAAATTGACAAATGGGATCTAATTAAACTAAAGAGCTTCTGCACAGCAAAAGAAACTTTCATCAGAGTGAACAGGCAACCTACAGAATGGTAGAAAATTTTTGCAATCTATCCATCTGATAAAAGGCTAATATCCAGAATCTACAAAGAACTTAAACAAATTTACAAGAAAACAACCCCATCAAAAAGTGGGTGAAGGATATGAACAGACACTTCTCAGAAGAAGACATTTATGTCACCAAGAAACATATGAAATCTCATCATCACTGGTCATTAGAGAAATGCATATCAAAACCACAATGAGAAACCATCTCATGCCAGTTGGAATGGCAATCATTAAAAAGTCAGGAAACAACAGATGCTGGAAAGCATGTGGAGAAATAGGAACACTTTTACACTGTTGGTGGGAGTGTAAGTAAGTTCAACCATTGTGGAAGACAGTGTGGTGATTTCTCAAGGATCTAGAACCAGAAATACCATTTAACTCAGCAATCCAATTACTGGGTATATACCCAAAGGATTATAAATCATTCTACTGTAAAGACACATGCACACATATGTTTATTGTGGCACTATTCACAATAGCAAAAACTTGGAACCAATCCAAATGCCCATCAATGATAGACTGGATAAAGAAATGTGGCACATATACACCATGGAATACTATGCAGCTATTAAAAGGATAAGTTCATGTCCTTTGCAGGGACGTGCATGAAGCTGGAAACCATCATTCTCAGCAAACTAACACAAGAACAGAAAACCAAACACCCCGTGTTCTCACTCATAAGTGGGAGTTGAACAATGAGAACACATGGACACAGGGAGGGGAACATCATACATCAGGGCCTGTCGGGGGTTGGGGGGTGAGGGGAGGGATAGAATTAGGAGAAATACCTAATGTAGATGAAGGGTTGATGGGTGCAGCAAACCGTCATGGCACGTGTATACCTATGTAACAAAACTGCACGTTTTGCACAGGTACCCTAGAACTTAAAGTAGAATAATAAAAAAAAGAAAATTAGCTAAATCCATTATGACAGAGGAAAACTGAGTCATTATGAATCTTTTAGATCTAGAACTTTACAGTTCTTTAAGCACACCATTTACTAAAGTCTTTACCTGCCATGGGTACACTGTTTTGTAGTTTATTTAAAGATAAAAATAAATGCATTTAATGTGATGGTGTGGGGGAATGATCACAGAAGAGAATACTAAGCACTAAGAAGAAATTTAAATATTGTATGTTACTATGTACTCAGAAAAATTTTGACAATAAATACTCTAAATGTTGTAATTAAAAACTATTGAATATTGATATTATATAGGAGGTTGATATAAATATCAATATTAAAATAATTACTTTTCAGAAAATCACTACATTTAATACTTTTGACCTCCATTCCTTTTCATTTAAACTTTTTGGTTTTCATTTGAGATTGTTTTATTTAAATTTATGAACACTTTCTTCATCTGCAGTACAGCAAATTTTCTTGCTGTATTTCAGGGACAGAAGCATACATTTAGATTTGGTGGCAGAGTTGGTTTACCTCTGGCCATATAAGTAAAAAATATCTGTTCTGCTTAAAACATAGCACTTAATATTACTGTTAATATTTCAATTATGAATATATACTGAGTGATTTACAGATTAGCTCTTTTTGATAAAAGTGTATTGATAAAATCATGAGTGCTCATTAATCATGAATTTATTTCATAATATAAATGTGAATTCAATCTTAAGGTAAATTTTAATGCACTTTTAAATATCATCTGACATACATTTTGAGGTTCATTTTATGTTTAAGGAAATACCTTTTCTGTTCATATTTGCCATCATATTTACACTCACATCCTTCCAAATCCTTAATTTTTGCTGACTGGGACAAATTAGTCTGACTCAAAATATTTTATTTACTACTTTAAATATATTTAAATGTTTTTAAAAATATATTTTAAAAACCTTAAAAGTATAATTATGCTCAAATAAGAAATCTGTTCCCATTCTATATGGCAGTTAAATTGTTTGGTTTCCTATAAAAATTTGGCCAAATTATTTGCTAAATTGTTTTTGCCAAATTGAATAATTTGGAGGTTTTGAATAATCAGAGGTTTTTGAAAATACTTATATCAGAAATTAAAACTAAGAGATGAAATTTAATATTTTAATATATATTTATATTTATTTATTGATTTGAATTTATATTTAAATATATAAGAGAAATATACATATATCTCTCTTACTCCCAAGGCAAATTAAAATTTTCTAAATTGTGTTTGCCAGTAACTTTCCAATAAATCAAATTAATATCTAAATTACTATTAGAAATCCCTATTTTTAATTTTCTTTTATTAAAAATTTTTGAGATCTCTGTTTTCAAAGGACCAAAAACTTTTTGATCTGATTGCCTTTCATCTGTGAAACTCAATTATGGTTCTATCATTGGGAATCAGGAAAGTTATTCCCTGAATGACAATATGGGTCAAGATCACCTTTATGCTTGTTAGAGATGATGCTCATCCAGAGACCTTTAGCTTAATGACCCAGCTTCTTGTGCATAAGTTACAGTCTGGGACTGCTGCAGGAACTTAAGAAGCTTCATTATTCTTTTAGGCCACAGGGGAAACATTAAATTAACAAAAAAGGAAGGAAAAAACCAAAATATCATGTCAATAACCACAAAGAGGCTCTAGCCTGTTGCATTTCTAGTACCTTAGCTATGAAATACCACATGGAGTTGTGTTTTGGTAAATTTTGTGTAACTTCTGCTGTCATTTAACTTTTCAACATGTCTAAATCTATTACATAGTATTTCATAGTAATAACTTTTTTGAAGTTAGAAAATTATTATGTCATACTCATATTCTGAGCTCCAGTTGCCTTCACTGCAAAGTAGAAGCTGGCTCTAATATGGCTGAGGATGAATCCCAGGATTGAAAGTCTGAATCTCAAGAGAGAAATGAGAGGTAAAGCCATGAATTTGGATGTCATGGTGATTGGTAAAAAATGACATGGGTGGGGGTCATCCAAGGAGTGTTTTTAGAATCAGAAATCCAGAAAGCTGAAGATGAGGCCTTTGAATCACTGAAGCAGAGCAGCAGATGTCGTAGATGAAAATGGAGAGAACAGCATTCTGAATAGATAGAATGCATTCAACAGTCAAGTGACAAATGGAGCAGAGAGCCCAATCATCAGGCATATTTAAGAGTTGATTGTTGTTTCCGCAATTAGAAGATCAGTGGATACTTCAAAAGAAAAACATTTCAGTGATAAACTGTGGATGAAACTGAAAGTTTGGGTATTAATTGCAATAGAAAACATGGTAGACAGCCACTGTCCCAAGTTTTCCCAGTGTCCCCTGCCATCCCCGCTGCCCTCTATGCTCCACAGAACTCAGTGACATCCCCAGGATCCAGTAACTAAAAGGACACTCTTAGCTCAATAGGTGCTTCAGGCCCTTACTCAGGCTCTTGTACCCATGGTGCCATACTGATTATTCAATAATTTTCATAACACCCCTACAGAAGAACACAAGGTTAAAGGAAGTAATGTGTTTTGTTTCGTTTTGTTTCTTGATCTTGTTTTTAAGAGGAGAAATATTATGCATGTTTACAGAGTGAAGGGAAGAGTTGAGTAGAGATGTAAATGTTAAAATCAAGGAGAAAAGGGATGAGAGAAGAACCCAGGGTGCACAGAAGTAGACAATAACTTTGAGTGGGGAGAAGACAGCCTGGAATAGATGAAAAGATTGGAAATGAATATGGACAACTTTGTACCTTGGTGGGTAGGAAGGTGACAAATTCCCTACGCTGGGGCTTTTATATTTTCCCTGAGTTAGGAGGCACTGTCGTCGCTATGCAAGGGACAGCAGCAGGTCAGAAGCTCAGGGAGAATGGTAAACATCTTCCATAAGGAATGTGAGACAATTGTTCTTTCTACTTCTATTACAGAGTAGAGTTTAAGCTAGGAATAAAATACTAGTGTATGTTTCATTTTCCTAGTTTTTAAAAATGTATCTCAAGAGCACTCAAAATAACATCATGAAATAGAGCCCTGAACCATGTTTCCCATGCTCCTACATACGTATATACTCAAGGTTTTTGTTAAGGATAGTATTTATAAAAATATGATTACTCTGTATACTGCACACATTAAACTCTATTTTCTTCCTCAACAGCATGTAGTAGTCATTCCAGTGAGCTAATGTGTAAATATCTAACTCACATTTTTTGGTAATTTCATAATATTCAATAATATGCTTTTGCCAAATTGATTCTGTCATTTCCATCTTAATGAACACTTGTTTATTTATTTAGTCCCACATTACAATGCATAGTAAATAACAGCATCTATCTTTATAAACATATTGGGATTTCATTAAGGATTGCTCAGATTTTAAAATTTATATTCATATTTCTTGGAATTTCAGTATGATAACAGACATTTTCCAAAGGGTTCTAGTAATTTACACCCTCACTGGCAATCCATGAAAACCCATTTCTCTGCCTCCATATCAGCACTGAACAATATTATTTTGCAACCGCTTTGGAGTAGAGGGTAGAATAGTAGGGCTAGTACTCTCTTTTTATGTACATAACATTGAAAGTTAATCACCTGTAGTTAACAGGTGGTTAATGTTATATATTTTAAAAATGTAATATTTTATATGTAATATTAAAAAAAATTATCAAGCAAATTGTTCAGAAAGAGTTTCCTGACTATAGAGAAAATAAGCTGGTTCAAACAGTCCTTCATCCTGCAATGCTTTGGGAGGACAATCCAGTTTTTCTGTTTAGGAACCTTTGCATACCCATTATCCTACTGTGTTGGCCTGGGGCTGAAATAAGAGCTTTAGAAATGTGAGAAGATGTAATCATTTCAATTAATATGAATTATAAGTCATGAAAAGAAGGATGACTAATAATTTTTTTTCAAATTGTATCATTCAGTATCATCAACAAGGTCTCAGAATTTACTAATACCAAGTTCATACACAATTCCATGGCAATGCTGTTAGACATCATGGCAACGAAGGCATCTATCATGGTCTGGAACTTGCTTTTTATAATTACTCTTCTAGATTCTTCTTTCCTTATGCACTAGCAATGAGGAATTAGTCACAATTCCTAAGATCTACATATACATTCCTTTTTGTAATAATTCAAACTATGTGAATGAATTAGACTTCGTTTCCCCCATCCCTGGCTGTGAAAGCTCTATTTAACTGACAGGGTCCAGCTTAATGGCAACTCTTTACTGAAGTGCTTCAACATTAAAAAAAAATTTTCTACTTTTTTCAATGAAATATTATATTTTTTATTATCACCATACTTACACATTTTTGTCTCTCCTACTAGATTTAGAAGTTTTGAGATCCGGCACTTTGACTTATTCATCTTTCTCTTTAGCAACCATCTGTATTATCTGACACTTAGCTCAGTGCCTGATACATAGGAGATACTCAATAACA
This sequence comes from Homo sapiens, assembly GCF_000001405.40. Classification (NCBI taxonomy): domain Eukaryota; kingdom Metazoa; phylum Chordata; class Mammalia; order Primates; family Hominidae; genus Homo; species Homo sapiens. The sequence continues at coordinate 91,840,350 of NC_000013.11, forward strand.
GTTGAATTAATGAAAGTATATGTGGATGATGTAGTAGGCTAGCTAAATCAGGTTAGGGAAGGTGCAGCTGTCAATGTCCATCTCTGGTTATAAATCCTGGGAAAACTGTATTAACGGTTTGAGGATATAATGAAGCTTGCAGTCAGTCAGAATGCCCTTTCTTAAAACCTTCTGAGAATAAAACAGGCCGATTGATTACACAAACAAAATATGAGACTACAAGGGAAACTGGCCCTGTTTGTTCCCCTCCCCTGCAAGTTAATCACATTTGACCATGTAATTTCATACTTACAATGCATTTTCTATTTACGCCATACCAGATATGCTACTGGAGGCACTTTACTTAATTTTTAAAATTTCTAATGCTAGCACACAATGACATAAGTTCCTATTTTTATTTTTTTTTTTTTAAAAAACATGTTTAGATCTTTAAATATTTACAAACATTCAGGTATCCATTTTAAACACTTGGGACATATTCCTGAATTACGGTTAACTATTATATTGATTAGAAAAATGCTACTGGTAACAGTACAATGTGAGTCTAGAAAAATGTGTCTCATTTTTAATGCTTTGTTAGTATACTGTCTTTCATCTCATAACTGTGGATATATCCCTGAGAACCAGAAAAAATGAAATAATAATACTTTGAATTGATTGTTAGCTACTATTTCTGGAATTGTAAAATATATGATTTTTTTTTTATTTTTCAAAGAGCGTGAAAGCTAGTTTCACTGCAGATGCTAATACATAGAGAGCAATTTATATATGAATTCCGAAGGGGCCTGGAGGGAAGAGCTTTTTCACACAGACAGATGAATTAGGATACTTAGCTGACAGGGTCATCACTACATTTCTTATCGGAAATTCTACTGCAGGGCTAGAAAATATTTTTTAAAAATCCTCAAGTAGGCTGTAGCATTCAATGAATCATGTCATAAATTGAATGGAAAGAGAATCTGAGCATGTCTTGCAGAATATGGAGTGAGAAAGAGACCTGCAACATCAGGCATGCTAGATAAAGAAAAATATCTTAGGCCAGCAAAGAGGTCTTTTGGGTTCGAGGTAGAAAATTGAATCGTTACGTTTAAGAGAGTGCTTCAGTAGCATTTTACATAAAAAATTCATCTGTTTTTCAAAGTAATATACGTGCTAAATGCTGTTTATGTCTTCTTCGTTCTGTTGCCCCACTTAATGATTATAGATAGAAATTCAATCATTGTAGAAGTAGTCAGCTTTAACAAGGTGGCCAATGAATAACATTAATGGTATTTGCTCTTTGCAAATAAATAAGAAGGCATTGGATTTATATTGGTAATTTAGACTAGCTTAGAAAACCAACTGAAAAAAAAGGAAGAAAGGAAAAATGAGGGAAATAAGAACAGAAGAAAGGATGGGAGGAAGGAAGAAAAGAAAGCAAGTGGGCTATCTCAAGTAGAACAAACACAAGTACAACTGACAAACTATTTCAGTGAGTCTTGGAGCATATGGGCAGTTTGAGGTTCTATTTAATGTGTCAAGATGTACTGTGTTTTTGAGATATTTTAGTCAACTGGACTTAGTAGTGATTCACACTCTCCACAGCATCATAAAAGTTTCAGTTTGTGCCAGGGAAGATAAACTATTTTGAAGTAAGTTTGAATTTCAATTCTACCTTTTCCCCATATCTGCATAGACACGGCTTTATTGTAGTACAGGAATTTTGACACTTTCTTTGGTTTTTGTCCATGCCATGCAACTCTTAAGTCTTACAGAATTAAACCATGTTCTACCATTCAAGAAGGGTTTCTTTTCTAGTTCATAAATATTTGGGTTTAGAGCAAAGGAATGAGAACATATACTTAGAAACAAGGCAATTCATTTGACATTTATCTGATTGATGGCATAAAAGAAATAAAGGAGAGGTAAAGAGTGAAAGAATGAAACATTTTATTTCAAAAGCTTATCATTAAATATATGTTGTCCTTAAATGCTTAAAAATTCTATAATTTGAATTGTGCTTCTCTAATATTGAACACTGATATTTTTAAGGAAACTCACAGGGCAAACTAGATGCTTAAGAATGTTATTTAGCCGGGCGCGGTGGCTCACGCCTGTAATCCTAGCACTTTGGGAGGCCGAGACGGGCGGATCACGAGGTCAGGAGATCGAGACCATCTTGGCTAACACGGTGAAACCCCGTTTCTACTAAAAATACAAAAAATTAGCCGGGCGTGTTGGCGGGCGCCTGTAGTCCCAGCTACTTGGGAGGCTGAGGCAGGAGAATGGCATGAACCTGGGAGGCGGAGCTTGCAGTGAGCCGAGATCGCGCCACTGCACCACTCCAACCTGGGAGACACAGCGAGACTCCGTCTCAAAAAAAAAAAAAAAAAAAAAAAAAAGAATGTTATTTAATTTCTATTCTCAGTAACAGCCTACATTTTAGTTTTATGCATGTTGTTTGAGATTTCTAAAACATCTGATCTGAGGCAAATATTGAAAATGAGACGTGCTCTTTAAAGTTGAATTATCTTTCAGGATACATTTTATTTTATTATTCAGATAAATGGAATCCTTTTAATACCCTAAAATGAAAATAGTTTAACAATATGAATTGTCTTTTTTGTTACGAGTCATGTGATTTTAATTGGCAATATTTCAATGACTGTTTTACTTTTAGCATCTAAGTGTCTCCTTTTTTTCTATTTTTAACGGTTATTTGAATAATCTGCCATAGCCATGAATGTTAACTGACTGTGTAACAAGTCACAATTTTAGAATTGTATTCTAAACTTTTGCTGAGCAACGATTTTGTCTGTGCTACACACCAGAAGAAACATAAAACTTGATTAATGATCCTCATGTTTCTAAGTATTTATAGTCACCGCTCTAAGAAAGACAAATATACACACAAAATTACAAATAAGCCAAAATATTAAACTTTCATAATGGAGATATAAACATGTATTACAGATTCATGAGGGAGGGAGAATATGTTGGATGAAATATCACATTAAAAGTGAGTCACTGGAATCTAGCCACAAAAGTAGTCAAGTTGGTCAGTATGTGAAGGATCAGGGACACTACAGGAAGAGGGACAAACATGAACACAGCTGCTGAAATGTACAAAGGTGTGATATATGTACGTAATGGCAAATAAACTAGTATTGTCTGGGGTCTTGGGAAGCTTGGCAAAAACAGAGGAAAAATAAGATTTCCCTCACCTTGTAATAGTCTTCAGATACTGTTTTAAAACAACTGAGAAATTACTTATAGAAAATGTGTATACCAGCAAAGCTCTTAAATAGGGGGGTCATAGAGCCAGAAGACATCTTTTGGAAAACAACTGTAGTGGCTGTATGAAGAGTAGGTGGCTGGCCCAGCAGATTGGAGGAAGGGAGATACCTTTGGATGCATCTGGAATGTTTCTAGGGAAGCATAAGCTTTCCAGATGCAATGTTAAAGAAAAGGGGGAAACAGCTGCCAAAGTAAAATGTAGCTCCTGTTGCGGTGACTTGATCACTAACTGGTATAAGAAGTAAGAGAGCATATGAAGGATTAAAGATGAATGTGAACACCAAGCCTTCAAGGTTCAGTGGCTTCAGGGATAGTTATGCCTTTAATAGATAAAGAACACAGGATGAGGATTGGGTCTGTGAACAAAACTATTTTAGGTATGGGAAAATAATGTATATTTGAGAGTTTTGCGTTTATCTGATGTGAAGTCTCATGGTAGATGAGATTTTACCAGGACAGGAGGTAAAGGATAAGAGAATGGAACAGATGCTCCAGCAAAGTGCAGTGAGAAAGAATGAAAGGGATGTATGGAAAATGATATGAAAATCTTATTTTAGAGATTTTGTAAGAACAGAGTTTAAGGAAAAGGAGTGGTAATCAACAAATTTGGAAATTACATAAAGTCGAAGAAGGATGAAGATTGAAAAGAGGTTGATGGATTTGAAAAGCAGATCATCATGAGTTTGTTTTTAGCTTTGATTCCCTGAAAGCTGAGATTGGAATTCTTGTGCATGTGTGCTCTCTGCGGAAACTTCTAACCTTACTAGGGAATCAAGACAAGGAGGGGAACAAGATCAGATGGAGATGAGGTTCAGCCTGATTCCAGGGAGACCTCTAGAGTGTGAATTGCACCCGAGTCTTCTCTTGAGCCAAAGGCCTGGGCTGTAGAACCGTACAGCAACTAGGCAATGGCTATGAACAAACTCTGCAGTGGCCACTGAGTGGGAATCTAGACCTCAGGGAGGCAGTTCTCTGCATTCAAGGGTAACCATCCACTGAAGGGTGCACATGTGAATTAAAAAGTCCTGGAAATTTAACCATCACCTCTATATTGGAATAACCTTTGATCCTTGTGTGTTTTTTATTTTGTTCTGTTTTTGTTTTTGTTTTTTTTTAGACAGAGTCTCACTCACTCTGTCACCCTGGCTGGAGTGCAGTGGTGCTATCTCGGCTTGCTGCAACCTCCACCTCCCAGGTTCAAGCGATTCTCCTTTCTCTGCCTCCTGAGTAGCTGGGATTACAGGTGCCCGCCACCATGCCCAGCTAATTTTGCTGTGTGTATTTTTAAGTTAATTTGTGTTAGAAAAATATCAAGTGTAATTTTCTGGAAACCCATGTCTTTTAATATTGAAGAGTTGTAATAAAACATTTCTGGGGAGAAGATCTGAAAAACACGGGACTTATTCATATAACCTAGCAAAATATGGAATTGTCATTTTAGGGTAGCTCTAATAATTACTATACAGTGATTCTCCACCACAAAAGAATGCTAGTAATAAGCTCATGGATTCCTTTTTTATACTGTAATAATTAATGCCTTTAATTTTTGAACACTGAGATTCTTTATGTTTCTATTTTTGTTTTAAGTATAGTGCAACTTTTTAATTCATTGGCTTCTTAGTGTCACATCTTGACACACAACTGTTAGATTTGCCTTTAACCTAAAAATCAGTAAGGTTTTTTTTTAATCGTTTAGTCTTTTTTCAGCTTTATTAAAATATAATTGACAAAACTGTACATATTTAAAGTGTACTGCTTAATGGCTTGATACACATATGCATTTCCATTGTGAAATGACTACCACAATCAAGTTAACTAACAGATCTACCACCTCACATAGTTACCTTTTTGTTGTTGTTAAGAACACTTAAGATCTGCTCTCTTAGCAAATTTGAGGTATACAGTACAGTATTATTAACTATAATCCACAGTTATTTAGTCATTTAACTTTCATGAGTAAATATAGTTTGCTATAACCAGGAAGGCACAGACAAGGGCTTTTGGCTCTTCTTCTGCAACTCTGTTCCAACTGCAAGAGTTTGTGGAGAAAAGAACCATTCCCTCAACAGTACCAAGCAGTAATAAAAATATTAAATAGTATTACCGTGTCTGAGTGCCTTTCCTGTATTTCGTAACTTAACCTAATAATAACCCTTTTAAGTGTTGTTATCGTTCCTGAAGAGATAAAACTTGGTTAAAATGTAAGATTTGTCACTTACTAGCTGCATGATTTGAAAAGAGTTGTTTAAATTACCTAAGCTTTTGTTTTCTCATCAGTAAAATGGAGATAATAGTAGGTGCCTCATGGGGGATTATTAGATCACACTTAAAATTGGATCATAGTTAATACTTTAACTGGGGCTTTAACCATCATCATTTACATCATCCCTATTCCATTTTCTTTCCTTTTGGCAGAAAGGCATATAGTGAAATCTATGCAAATTAAATGAACATATGGGACACTTTCTTTGCAGAAAGAGTTGTGGGGCTCCCTCCACATGACCTGAAAAGTACCTATATGGCGGTAAGACACTTTACATATCCCCTAGTTTATATACCCTGGCATGCCCATATGACCTGCTAAATCAGACAAACACACCAGATTCTAATATACAGTCATATTGATTTTACAACTTCTCAATTAACATATAATCCTAAACTGCATGCTTTATGTTGAAGAAAAAAAAACAGCAACTAATACACTATCATAGTACCGCCTTAAATGCTAGTTTAACCTGATTCTGCCAGCGTAACAATTTTGAGTTGTACATAAGGGTTTTATTGAACTTTTTATTCTTTTATTGGTTATGGTTTAGTAACTTAGAATTTCCTTAGAATTGATATAAGCATGTAAACTGAAGTTGATGGTCAAGTATACCTTTATAATAAGCTAAGCAGCTTTAGGGCTCCTAGATCCTTTGTGAAGTGCAAGTTCACCGAGAGAAGTAAGTACTAGTATGACTAGGCTTGTCTATCATTGGCTTTTGAATGGCTTTTTTACTGAAGACAAAAAGGAAGGAGGAACTAAGTGTAATTTCTAAATACTTGGATACCTCTGCAAGTATTGTCAATGGTTATTTCTCCTTCAAGCACTCTCCCATTTTCTTTCATCAGATTGGCCAGTCTCATCTCAAATCCTCTGCAGAAAATGTTGAAGGTACTCTAGGGTGAGATAATAGTTTTCAATGTTTATGGGAATTGAAGAGGTTTTGGGAAAATGGATAATATTATTGGAAAAAATTAGATTGTTGGAGTGAAGATTAAGTTCAAAGAGAGAATGTATTATAATTTTGTGCAACTGAAATGGGTGCGGGCTGGGCACGGTGGCTCACTCCTGTAATCCCAGCACTTTGGGAGGCTGAGGTGCGCGGATCACTAGGTCAGGAGATCGAGACCATCCTGGCTAACACAGTGAAACCCCGTCTCTACTAAAAATACAAAAAATTAGCCGGGTGCGGTGGCGGGCACCTGTAGTCCCAGCTACTCGGGAGGCTGAGGCAGGAGAATGGTGTGAACCCAGGCGGCGGAGCTTGCAGTGAGCCGAGATGGCGCCACTGCACTCCAAGCCTGGGCGACAGAGCAAGACTCCATCTCAAAAAAAAAAAAAAAAAAAGAAATGGGTGTGAAAATATCGTTGATGATTAGTAATAATTACTAGATGTAGTGACTTTTAAAAGACTCCTTTAAGGATGGCTGTTAAATAGGTTTCTATATGTATCTTTATTATAATTGTGTGTGTGTGTGTGTGTATGTACACATACACATAGATAAGAAAAATTATGGGCTTTACTGTAAGTACATCATAGAGTTCAACTGAAAAAAATGCTGTCAAAGAGCAACCATGTAGAATTAGGCATGGTTTGCTCCCTCTCAGCTGCTGAGTGTTACATTTCTGGTTTAGAGGGGAGAAGTGTTCCTTTTCCACAAGACTTGATGTAATCTTTCTACTTTGGTTCCAAATTTCTAACCTAAGAATAAGAAGTAATTAAGATCAAAAGAATAATGAGAAACCTCATCCGTGGTTAAAATATGTATTTAGTAAATATTACAGGAAGAGACACCAGATTATTTAGAAATAGAATAATGAAACAAAACTTTCCTTATTCTTCTTGGTTGTATAATCAGAAATTACATCTCCTGGTTACTTGATCTCTGAGATTAGTTTCTAAAGTTAGACATATTTTGACAGGAAATTTTAACTCATTTTATTTTCAAAATACATACCTTTTAGTGACCATAAATCTAATTTTTGAAGAATATTATTTATGGTCTTATAGTAGAAAATACAGCCTCAATTTCTGTACTCTCCATCACTTTGGAAAAGATCATTGTAGTTGAGCAAAATGCTTTTAATAGCGAGGTATTGATGTGGCTCTTGGCTGTTATTATGTAATAATGTCATGTAATTTTCTGTTCTTTCTAAAGTGATAAAAATCAGTTCACAGTGATGGAATGGGCTGCTGCCTTTCAGGCCTAAACTTTTCACATAAAAATCATAATTATTAATTGGAACTAATTTCGGACCATGCATTTACATGCCAGTTTTCATTTGAATGTCAATTTTGTCCCTTACTCTCACCTTGAAAACATAACTTGCTCTATTTTATTAGGAAGGAAGCACAAGCCTGTAGTGTATTCTCAGTTCCTGTGTTGGATAAACCTGGCCTACAGTTGGTTTATTTAATTATTGTTTGAAGTAATATTTATTGGATGTTCTCGCATACCGAAAACTAGTAGTGGAAACTAGGAATTTAAAATGTAAGTCGGCTTAATCCTGTCCACAGAAACCTATGCTAGTGAGGGAAGAGTTACAGTAAATGCAGTGGGATAGACATACCTATGGGAATATGACTGGACCTGGGAGGGGCTCCAGCCTAAAGGATGGTTTTCTGAAGGGAGGTGGGCCTATAAGAGTTAGAAGAACAGAAACTGGAAATAGAGGAGAAAGAGAAAGTAGAAGGGAACAATGAAGAGGGTAGAAAAGAGGATGTTCTAAAGTGATTCTGCTTCTTTCATAAGTGAGGTATATCTGTTGTTAACTATATTTGGGAAATACGATATTTGAATTAATCTCTCAAACCATAGTAGTAAAGCTTTCCAATAGATTCTGAATAGTATCATCTTGCTTCTGAGCCAGAGACATTCTGATGATTGATTCATGAGGAGTTCTATGTACTTGAAAGTCAATTGTTACGCAAATAATTTACAAGATAGTACAATTTTAGCTTTGTATAATGAGTAACTTTAAAAAATCAGATATTCCTGAAAGTATATTTTATGCAGTATGGTTATTTCTGAAACTTAATATAATATAGATTGCTCGTATTTTATTTATTATCTTGAATCCCAGAATGCTTAAATGTGAACTATTTTTTAGAGGTGAGAGGGCAGATCGACAACTGCCGTGGAAAAATTAGTTTTGGCTTATTGAAAGGAGGTGGTCAGCCCCTTTAGCTTACCCTAGTATCTCTGCAACTCTTTCCTTCTACCTGTGTGCTGCAAACACATTGCTCTTTTTCTGATCTAATAAAGAATGCATTTGCTTCTGCTGGGTTTCCACATACATGCCTGTTTCAAAACCATGCAATTTTCAGCCCACTACTACCTGCCCTTTTAGTATGATGACATGACATGCATTTCTACACCCAGAATTACCAAGGCTTTGTGTCTGACTTTCCAGGCTTGTTTATCCCAGACACTGCTATATAGAGGCACTGCCCTCCCTCACCAGGCTGCCTTGGAAAGAAGGATGAGTGAATTTCCATCCATTGCCAATAAACCACACGTGGTTTAATAGCTCTATGAACATTTAAAAATATATTTTATACCTTCCAGTATTTTTTCATATCTAGCCAAATTCTATATTCAGAGATTTTTTTTTGGCCAAACCTCAATAAATAACATTATTAAAGTTTGTGTATTCTGTTTGAATTACTGGAGGTTTAGAGTCTTACCGGCTTACTGAACTTTAATGTATACTCTTGAGTATCCACAGAACACAGTTTGAAAAGAGTTGCTTTAACTCAAAGAAATATGAGTTTCTGATAGAATTTCAGGTACCTTCAAATGGCTATTGAGCTTTTGATCGAGGGAAACCTCCAAAAATTACATAATCTATAAAAATCTTTTTATGCTTAATATCATCTGTGGTACATTATGATGCATGTATCAGAAAAGAGTGGTCATTTTTATTTTACTAACTCTGATATACACAAAATGATGTCATGTGACCATGGAATATTAGAGCTATTATGGGACTAAGAAATAATTCATACCTTCAGTGTAAAGATGAGAAAAGTGAGGGACAAAATTGTAAAGGTTATTGCTCACTGTCTCACAGACTAGAGGCAAAGATGAGGCAGGTATTGAGATTTCTTTCTTCTCCCAGTATATCAAACTGGCACTTAATTATAATCTTTTAAATGCTGATTACTTGTATCTTTCAACGGAGGTTTTTCAGATCAATAATTGTTTGAAAGTTACAACACTAGTATTTGGTTGAGATACCATGACTCTCACCTTGAAAGGTTAGCAATGCTTAACCTTTGATAACCAACATCAATTAATATAATTAGCTGATGATAATTAGTATCATTAAATTAACAATAAAACCATCACTATATCTCTGACATCCATGCTTTTTGCCAAATCTGCCTGAAATTTATAAAACAACCTGGGACTATTTTACCCCTCAGGTGACATTTGCTAATGTCTGGAGCCATTCCTGGTTGTCACAACAAAGAGTTTTCTGGTTCAAACTGTCAATAATATCAAGGTTGGTAAACCCACTAAAGGGATTTAATGCTGCCCTCTGCCCTTAATAAACCCACTAAAGGGATTTAATGTTGCCCTCTGCAACACCTATATGTAATAAAAGACATGTTTCCTATACTAGTTGAAAAGAAGTCTGATCTTCCCTATTCTATTGTATTTCAAACTTTTAGGGATGTCTCTAGATTACAGTATGTCATATTTTCATGAAGAACTTCAAATATTCTCATCTATATTTTATAGAATTAGGTCCTCTTCCTTTTTTTTCAAAGATCTATTTTTTAAAAGTCTAACCTCACACAAATGCCAGTGCTTTTCCTTTGTGACTTTTCAAGCTTCATTTGTTAGATATGTCTCTACATATGTAGAAAAAAAGATGATTGTTGTATTTTAGATTCCACCATTGATCTACACAAGAAAAAGGTTGTTTTGTGTTATTTGCATTTCCTGGTATTTATTTTTGTTTGGGGCTCTATCCTTATTAACTGTTAACAATTTCATGGAATATGAATAGTCATTTTTTATACATTGAAGAAAGAAATATTGAGTCCAGGAAATACAAGCTAGACACATACCTGCCTCTTTGGAGTTGAGCCTTCTGCAGGATATAAGTGAGTATGTAAACAAGATGCAATATGATGATAAAGAATATGGAAGGCACTACAAATGCACATAAAAGGGCCTATAATCGAGGCTTGAGCAATCAGAGAGGTGAGGTCTGAGCTGATACCTGGCAAGTAACATGGAGATAAGTATTGTTTCTGACAGAAAAAAGACTTTAAACACATCTCATTAGAGATGAGATACAGCCAGTGCCCCAGAGGTACTGAATACTGTAGGCAATTGTAGCACAATGGTAGGTATTTGTGTAAGTAAACAGATCTAAACATGGAAAAATACAGTAAAAATAAAATCTAAAAGGTAAATAAAAAATACACTCATATAGGGAACTCCACCATGAGTGGAGCTTTCAGGACTGGAAGTTGCTCTAGGCGAGTCAGTAAGTAGTGAGTGAATGTGAAGACCAAAGACATTACTGTACACTACTGTAGACTTTATAAACACCGTACACTTAGGCTACAATAAATTTAGAATACGTTTTCTTTTTTTTTTATTATTATACTTCAAGTTTTAGGGTACATGTGCACATTGTGCAGGTTAGTTACATATGTATACATGTGCCATGCTGGTGCGCTGCACCCACTAACTCGTCATCTAGCATTAGGTATATCTCCCAGTGCTATCCCTCCCCCCTCCCCCCACCCCACAACAGTCCCCAGAGTGTGATATTCCCCTTCCTGTGTCCATGTGATCTCATTGTTCAATTCCCACCTATGAGTGAGAATATGCGGTGTTTGGTTTTTTGTTCTTGCGATAGTTTACTGAGAATGATGATTTCCAATTTCATCCATGTCCCTACAAAGGACATGAAGTCATCCTTTTTTATGTCTGCATAGTATTCCATGGTGTATATGTGCCACATTTTCTTAATCCAGTCTATCATTGTTGGACATTTGGGTTGGTTCCAAGTCTTTGCTATTGTGAATAATGCCGCAATAAACATACGCGTGCATGTGTCTTTATAGCAGCATGATTTATAGTCCTTTGGGTATATACCCAGTAATGGGATGGCTGGGTCAAATGGTATTTCCAGTTCTAGATCCCTGAGGAATCGCCACACTGACTTCCACAATGGTTGAACTAGTTTACAGTCCCACCAACAGTTAAAAAATTAACCTTAGCTCACTGTGACATTTTTACTTTACAAGCATTAGTTGTTTTAATTTTTTTCTTTATATTCTTACTTTAAAAGCTTTTTTCTAATTAAAAAATTATTTTTTAATTATATTTTTATGTTATTTTGTTAAAAACTAAGACTCAAACACACACATTAGCCTAGGCCTACACACGGTCAGGATCATCAATATCACCGTCTTTCACTTCCACATCTTATTCCATTGAAAGGTCGTCAGGGCAAATGACATGTATAGAGCTTTCATTTCCTATGATAATAGTACCTTCTTTAAAAATACTTCTGGAAGATCCTAGGTGTCACTTTTTTAGAAATATGTCCATGGTGGTTTACTTGTTTTTTTTTTCTCTTCTTATAGATTTGCTTGTAAGCAAATAATGCATCATGAACATTTCTCTCTATTAAGGAAAATCTTTTGGTGTTGGAGTCCATGTTTTAAAACTTTTTAAGGAGCTTGTTGAGACCTGCAAAAGCTGCACACATCACTGCATTTTCTTGGGAGTATGTCTTCTCTTTTTAGGTTTATTTACACCAGCCTCACCATAAACATGTGAATAATGTTTGAACTGTAATGATACTGCAGCTAGGACCTCAACAAGTAATAGGAATTTTTCAGCTCCATTATAACTTTAAGGGACCCACTGTGGTATATGTGATCCATTGTTAGCCAAACATTGTTATGTGGAGCATGCCTATACTTTAATGAGATATTGCAGAACTGGGAGAGCTTCATTTCAGATATTTTCGTTATGAAATATTTGCTGAGTGCCTACTCTAGGACAGGCACCATTCTAGGCTTCAGAACAACAGCACTGAACCAAACAACTGAAGTCTGCCCTTGTGTAGTTTACATTCTAGTGTGGTAGTTTATTAGTATTATTCATCTCTATATGCTACTTTTCATTAACAGTTTTCATCCTTGTATACAGTCTGAATGGTAAGTACAAGTGTTTACATAGACTGACCAATGTATTGAATGGTAAATTATGGAATTTTTAAAAAATTATAGAAATAGTAAGTTGATATTAAATTGAAAGATGTTAAAAATTTATTCAAGAAACTTTGATATTCAGTCTCTAACTTTTCAAGTTTTTTGGGGGGTTTCTCTTTCTCATCTGGGGGTATAATGCTTGATGTGGATGAGACTTTTTCTTGGAAGAATTTTATTCCTTTTTTCATTTAAAATATCATAGTTGATATGGCAAATACATTGATCAGCAGCACTTACAGAAGGGTAATTTTTTTAAAGAAGCATGAGAAATTAAGGTACATCTTAGAAAAGTGATTACTCTGCCCTTATACCAAGACACAATAAGACTTTATGATGGGATTACAGCATGGAGAGATTTACAACAGCTTCCACTGGTTTAGATACAGCTAAAGAATTAACAGAGGATTGGTTGGCAGTCTAAAGAATGGAAAATTTAACCAACTTCTAGAAAGGTAGTCAGATTATTGTCTGTATTATTCTTCACACTTCTGAATGATGAGTGTGCTTTCCAACAACAACATTCATGAAGTTGACTTTGAAATATTTTAACTTAAAAGGATCTTACAGTTCTTTGAATCCTTATTTAAAGTGTCCTGATATCAGCTTAGTCATGTTACAATAAAAAATAAAGTCATTCAAGAAATTTATACTAGAGATAACCATTTCTAGGTCATAACATTTTATTGGATACAATCAGAAAATGTGGTGTAGTTGGCAAACCCTACATTGGGTTTTGAAATTACTGTGCTACCAGTATGTTCCAATCAGTGAGAACCTTTCAGCCATGAACTTTTATTGATTTGTATTCCTCAGAGTAACATAATAGCTTTCCTTAAGTCTTCCAATTTCACTATGGTTATTTTTTTTCCTGAAATCTCTGCTGTTAGAAGGTTTATTTATGCACTTACTCTGTCGCTTTCCAACCCCTTCATGGTTTGAGTCAAGAATAGGTACCAGTGTTCTATGAGCAAGTAGGAAAAAAAAAGAGGTGCTATAACCAATTAAATTATTCTATAAACAGTTATAGTATGAATAGTTCTGTAATCAGAACAATACATTTTAGCATTTGCAGAACAAATAAAGATATTGAAAATTTCTTCCTTTTTTATTTTCAGTTTTTGTGGGTACATAATAGGTATACATATTTATGGGGTATAGGAGATATTTTGGTATAAACATGAAATATGTAATAATCACATCATGGAAAATTGGGTCTGCATCCCCTCAAGCATTTATCGTTTGTGTTACAAACAATCCAATTAAACTCTTAGTTATTTTAAAATATACAATTAAATGATTGACTCTAGTCCCCCTGCTGTGCTATCAAATACTGTAATAGGTCTTACTCATTCTTTCTAGCTTTTTGGACCCATTAAACATTCCCACTTCCTCCCCTCTTCCCCCTCCCCAAACTACCCTTCCTGGCCTCTAGTAACTATCCTTCTATTCTCTATCTCCATGGGTTCAATAGTTTTGATTTTTAAAAGATTCTGAAAATTTCAACCAGGAAAAGCAAAAACAAGCAAGTACTCTCTCATCCAATCACACTAGAAATTAAATTCATTTTTAATAAATAACTTAATATTTCAATGCTTATTTTCACTTTTAAAACACTTATTTTTATAAAACATTTTTGTAAAATGTTTATATTTTAAATGAGGCTTATTTTTGTAAAATTTAAGCCTCAAATTTATACTGTTAATAGACATGTTTTCAACATTTGCTTAAAAAATAGGAGTTTAGTTTCTAGACTTAACATATGGTGGTTAAAATGAGAATTCAGCACTTTCAAGTCACACGATTTTTTTTCTATTCTCTAAGATGTTCACTATTTTATGTTGCCTGGAAATGTGAATACATGTATTAAATAGCAATCTCGTTGCATATACCAATTGATGGTAATTAAATTGAAGCATCTCTGTTACTATTTTAAAAAGATACTCATTTGAATTTTTTAATCCTGTTTTCAGTCTTTATAGTCTAAATTTCAGAAAATGCAACTGTAAAATTCGATAAAGACAATAGCTAATAGATGTTGACCGACTTTACCTTCTGTACAGGTGAGTTTTAACATGCTTTTCTAACTAGCTCCTAGTAACCATGGAATGAAACCAAAGAACAGGCACAGCTTCAAACTTCATTGGCTTTTCAGCTCTTGAGAGAATAGTCATATCTAAGCAACGAAATTTTGTTTAATCTACCTTAAAGTATCTGTAAAATGTATACTTTCCCCCAGCCATTACAACCATGGCAATCCACATTCAAACATGCATATAAAATTAGTCATCTTTTCCTGATATTATGGAGTTATGGAAAATTAGTCCTAATGCCTATTTTAAATGAAGCATTGTACTTTCCTACTGTGAAAAAAATAGTGAGATTCTAAATGGATATGTGAATGAGAAGCAAAATTGGCGATATTCTCTAATAATATAAAATTAACATGTAGAATCAAATCCTTGATTCATGCAACCAAACAGGTTACTGCCAGGGCATAAGAAATAGAAAGCATGATGGTTTTTCATGATATATGTCTCAAGTTTCATGGTATTTCAAAATGCCTTAATTCTGAAGACATCAATTCTGCAGATCTCTGATGCCTGCATGACCTATACCTTAAATATTATGCTTTTCTTGATGATTCAGTCTAGTACTGAGTTTTTAATTTTAGTTTTTTATTATTATATATTGAGGGAAATTGTGTATAAATGCATAGATTGTAGATATATAATTCAATGACACACATAAATATATAAATTCATGTAGCCAAAACCTAAATCAAGATACAGAATATTTCTACCCCCTAGAAAGTTCCCTTTGTCCCCTTTCAGTCATTTCCCAGCTCCAAGAGGCAACATGCTTTCTGGTCTATATCCATGTAATAGTTTTGTCTGTTCTTGGACTTCATATATTTTGTGTGTCACTATTTTTGTTTTATATATATTCTTGAGATTCATTCATGTTGTGTGTATTGATATTTCATTGTTTTCATTGCTAAGTAGTATTCCATTGTGTGGTTCATTGTTTTCATTGCTAAGTAGTATTCCATTGTGTAGATATACACATTTAAAAAAACATATTTTTCTTTGGATGAATATTTGATGTTTTTCAAAGTTTCTGCTACTTTCAGTAATACTGCTATAAACATGTATGTAAAAGCCTTTTTGTGGGCATTCAACTGATCTTGTGTAAAGGCCTAGGAGTGAAACTGATAAATGATGAAATATTTTTATGTTTAATTTTGTAAGAAACTGGATTAGTTTTCACAAGTGTGTATTTATTTTAGTCTACCATCAGCAAATTGTGAGAGGTTGAGTTGTTCATCGTATGTTCATCAATATTTAGTGTTGTCATTTTTTCAATTCTGCAAGTAGTAACTCTTTGTGGTTTTAATTTGTATTTACACAAAATTAAAGATGTTAGGTGTAGTTTCATGTGCATCTTGGCCATTCGTATATCTTTTTTTTTTGAAGTATCTGTCCAAGTTAGAAATTAGGATAACTTTTTCTGATTGATGTGTAGGATTTCTTTACATACTCAAGCTCTTTTTCAGGTATATGTATCTTGAATATCTTATCCTAGTCTGCAGCTTGCTGTTTTATTTTCTTAATAGAGACATATCATTATTTCTTTTTCATTTTTAAAGAAATCCTGTTACTATAAATTTATTATTCTCTATGTCCTAAGAAATATTTCTTGAAGATGGGGCAGATTTTCTCCTACGCTTTATATCAGAATCTTTATAGCTTTAGACTATACACCTAAATTTATTGTATACCTGAAATTCATTTGTGTGTTATGATATAGGGCTTAAGCTTTTTCTTTTTTTTTTGACTTATGAAGTGATTCTATCATTTATTGGAAAGATTTTTCTTTCCAATTTGAATTGCTTAGTGCCTTTGTTTAAAATTAAATGACCAAATATGTATTTGTATATTTCTATTCTTTTCTATTAGTCTATTTATCTTCCCTTACACCAATATCATTTTGTCTTGTTCAGGATAGTTTTTGACCAGTATTCAGCCCAGAGTAATAATTTCTCCCAATTCATGCTTCATCATGATTTTTATCTTTCTATTATAAGTCCTGTGCATTTCTATATAAATTTTTAAAACAACTTATCAGTTTCTTCAAAATAGAAGATGGGATTTTGCTTGAAATTAATCTAATAACCAAATTGAAAACTGGCGTCTTAACATGATTGAGTCTTCTAATTTATGAACATGGATTTAGATCTTATGTAATTTTTCTCAGAAATGTTTAGTAGTTTTCAGGATAGTATTACTGTATATATTTTATTATGTTTTGATGATAGCAAATATAATTTTAAAAGAAATATAATTTATTTTCACATATTGGTCTTATGTCTTGTTTTATATATTTCTTATGATTTTATACACAAATGATTTTGTTGTCTGTACATAAAGATTTCTATGGCTGTTTTTTTTTTCCAAATTTTGTGTTTCATTCTTTTTTCTTGCTTTTTAATACTGGCTCAAACCTCAGTACATTAAATATAAGTTACAAGGACATACATACTTGCCTTGTTCCCAACTATATATTGAATGGAACACATTCAATATATAGTCATTAAGTATGACATTTGATGTATGATTATGTAGATGCTTTTCTCTAATATATTAAAAAAGTTCACCTCTACTCTTAGTCTACTCTGAAGTTTTATCAAGAATACTTACATAATTTTGTCAATAGAATTTTCTACATCTATTCAGATCACTATATGGATTTGTCTTTTGAATGCTATTAATTCAAATTGTTGGTTAATTTGGGGATGTTAAAATAACTTTTTATTACCACAGCAAACCCCAGTTAATTATTATATATATATCTTATGTGTTACTAGAATTTATTTGCAATATATATTTTTAAATTTTGCATCTGTTTTCATAGGTTGGTTGTTTATTATTGTTTTTAGTAATATATTTGCTAATTTTTGCAAACAAGGATAATTTGACTACTTTATTTCCAATTTGCATGTCCCTTTATTTCTTTCTTTTGACTGATTGCTCCAACTAGGATTTGCTTAGGACTTCTAGTACTATGTTGAATAGCAATGATGAAAGTGGGCATCCTTTTCTAGTTCCAGGTCTTAGAGGAAAGGCTTTCAGTTTCCCCCATTTAGTATGATACTAACTGAGGGTCTGTTCTATATGGCTTTTATTATGTTGAGGTATGTTCTTTCTATACAGTTTTTTGAAGATTATGATCATGTATGAATGTTGAATTTTATCAAATGCTTTTTTAGCACCAATTGAAATGATCATGCGGTTTTTGTCCTTCATTCTATTGATATGATGCATCGCATTAATTGATTTGCATATGTTTAACTATCCTTGCATCCTTGGGATAAATCCCACTTGGTCATGATGAATGATCTTTCTAATGTGTTGTTGAATGCAGTTTGCTAGTATGTTGCTGAGCATTTTTGCGTCAATGTTCACCAGGGATATTTCCCTGTAGTTTTATTCATGTGTCTTTGGTTTTGGTATCAGAGTAATAATGGCCTTGTAGAACGAGTTTGGAAATACTCCCTCCTCCTCTATTTTTCACAGTAGTTTGAGTAGGATTGGTATTAGTTCTTTTTAAAATATTTGGTAAAATTCAGGAGTAAAACCATTAGGTCCTGGATTTTTCTTTCCTGGGAAACTTTTTATTATGTTTCCATCTCATTACTTCTTGGTCTTTACAGGTTTTGGATTTCTTCATCGTTCATTCTTGCTAGGTTGTATGTGTCTAGGAATGTATCCATTTACTCTAGATTTTCTAATTTATTGGCCTATAGTTGCTCCTAATAGCCTGTAATGATCCTTAGAATTTCTAAAATATCAACTATAATGTCACCTTTTTCATCTCTGATTTTATTTATTTAGGTCTTTTTTTTTTTTTTTAGTGTGGCTAAAGGTTAGTAGGTTTGGTTTATCTTTTTAAAAAACAAACTTTTCATTTTGTTGATATTTTGTATTTTTTCATTTCAATTTCATTAATTTCTGCTCTTATCTTCATTCTTTCCTTTCTTCTATACTTATTTTGCATCTGGTTTACTCATGCTTTTCTAGTTCTTTAAGGTGTATCATCAGGTTATTTATTTGAGGTTTTTCACTTCTTTGATCTTGGAAATTATAGGTATAAATTTGCTTCTTCTGCTTTTTGCTGTATCCCATAGGTTTTGGTATGTTGTGTTTCCATTTTCATTTGTTTCAGTGAATTTTTCAAGTCATTTTTAATTTCTTTGTGGAACTTCTAAGGATCATTAGAGGCTACTATGAGCAACCATAGGCCAATAGATTAGAAAACCTAGAGTATATTGATACATATAGACATTGAAAAATCCACATTATCAATTTGTTCTTAAATAAGCTTTGGTAATTTGTCTCTTTTAAGAACTTTAAGCTGCCAAATTCGTGAGTATAGAATTGTTCATAATAATTATTATCATTTAAATATATAGGTTCTGTAATGATATTTCTTCTTTTAATCAGTCCTTCTTTCTTAGTCTTACTAGTATGTAACAACTTTCTTGATGTTTTCAAAGGAACTTTTCACTTTGTGAATTTACTATTTATTTCAATTTCATTTATTTCTTTCATTACCTCTGTTATTTTACTTTTTTCAAATTATGTTTTATTTTATTTGTTTCTTATTTTTTCATTGACTTTTAAACATATGTATTTTTCCAATATAAGAATTTAAAGTAATAAATTACCCTCTCAATTTAACTCTATACCACAAATATGTAACTGTGTTATTGCCATTTTATTTTATTTTTTAATTGACACATAATAATTGTGCATATTTGTGGGTACATAGTGATGTTTCAATACACATAGTGTATATATGTAATTACCCTGATGAGATGATGGTAATTAGCATATCCATCATTGCAAATGTTTATCATTTCTTTGTTTTGGGAACATTCAATATCCTTTGCTAACTATTTGAAACTATATAATATATTATTGTTAACCATTGTCATACCATAGTAGTATAGAGCATTAGAACTTATTCCTCCGATCCAGCTTTAATTTTGAATCTTTTAAAAAATCTCTTCCCATCCCTCCCTTCCTCTTACGCTTCCCAGCCTCTAGCATCCTCTGTTTTACTTTTAACTTCTATAAGATCAAAATATTTTAGCTTCCACATATGAGTGAGAAGCTGTAATGTTTAACTTTCTTTTCTTGGCTCATTTCGCTCACATAATATCCTCCATTTCTATGCATATTGCTGTGAAGGACAGGATTTCCTTCTCTTTTATGGCCGAATAGTACTTCATCATGTATATATATATATCTATCCTTCCTTCCTTCCTTCCTGCCTTCCTTCCTTCCTTCCTCTTTCTTTCTTTCTTTCTTCTTTTTCTTTATTTCTTTTTTTTTTTTTTGAGATGGAGTCTTGCTCTGGAGTGCATTGGCGTGACCTTGGCTCACCATAACCTCTGCCTCCCAGATTCAAGTGATTCTTCCACCTCAGCCTCCCGAGTAGCTGGGGATGCACCAGCATGTCCAGCCAATTTTTATATTTTTAGTAGAGGCGGGGTTTCACCGTGTTGACCAGGTTAGTCTTGAACTCCTGACCTCCAGTGATCCGCCTACCTCGGCCTTCCAAAGTGCTGGGATTACAGGCATGAGCCGCCGTGCCCGGCCTGTATACCATATTTTCTTTATCCACTCATCTGTTGTTGGACCCTTAGGTTGATTCCATATCTTGGGTATTGTGAATAGTGCTGCAATAAACATCGAGGTGCAGATGTTTATTCAATATACTGTTTTCCTTGATTATTTTATATTTTTTCTAAATTATCTTTTGATTTCTTTTATGAACTATGAGTTAGTGTTTCATGTGATTTACAACTATTTGGGGGTTTCCTAGATATGTCTTATGTCATTGATTTCGAATTAAATTTTATTGTGATCAGAGGATATATTTTATAAAATCTAAAACTTAAAATCCGTTTAAACTTACTCTTTAACTCAGCATTTGGCCTATGTTGGTGATGCTTTCAATACACAAGAAAACAATGTAAATTTAGCATTTTAAGTGTAGTTTTTATAAATGTCAATAAGATCAAAGTGATTTGTAATGAAGTTGAAATGTTCTATAGCCATACTAATGTTTTGTCTTCCTGTTCTATCAGTGATGAACAAAGGGATGTTAAAATCTTTAATTATTACTGTCATTTATCTATTTCTCCCTTCAGTTCTGCTTACTTTCCTTCATGAATTATGAGGCTTTATTATTAAGTCAGTGCCCCCTTTGGCATATTATTGTCCTCTCATGAATTGGTTATTTCATAATTATGAGATGCCCCCATTTTCTCTGATAATGCATCCCCTTTTCCAGTTTACATTGTATTTTGCTGATACAGCCACACAAGCTTCCTAATGCTTGTTGTGTATATGGTTTATCTTTTTGTATAGGTTTACTTTTCACCTATCTGTGTCTTTATATTGAATATATGTTTCTGGTAGACAACATTAGTTGGGTCTTCTTTTCTTGTCTAATATGACAATCTCTACCTTACAATTGGATAATTTAGTTCATAAATATGTTAAATAAAACATGTTGCTACTTTTTAAAACTGTACAATCTGTTTCTTGTTTCTCTTCTCTTATTTTTGTTTAATTGTGTTTTAAGTACTCATTTTAAATTGCATAGATGAGTTAGTTGCAGAGCTTTTTTACTGAGTTATTTGTCTTACAGTAATTATCAATTTATAGTTAACTAATCTAAATTTTACTTGGAGGTTTTTTTTTACAACTTCATATACAATGTAAAAAACTGATGACAGTAACATTTCCTTTATTCCCTCTATGTCCTTTGTGATTGTTTTAGTATAAATTTTTCTATGTACATCATAAACCCCACAATAAAATGATATCTTTTTAAATTTTAATAGTTTCCCTTCAACGAAATTGAACGATAAAAAAAGTATTTTCTGTTACTCATATACTTATCATTTCTATGCTTTTCATTTTCTCTAATTTGGCGTTTTGATTTGATGTTATTTCCCTTCAGACTAAAAAATTTCTGTTAGCATGTTTTGTAGTGAAGATTTGCTGGTGACAAATTAACCCATTTAATTTTTCTGAAAACGTCTTAATTTTACCTTCAACTTTGAAAGATATTTTAACAATATATAGAAATGAACCTGATGCTCTGTCATCTCCAAATACTTTAGTAGAGTGATTCTCAACCAGGGGCAGTTTTGCCCTCCAGGAAACATCTGATAGTAGCTCAAGATATTTTTAGTTGTTAGCCTGGGGAATAGGGTGGGGAAGGTGCTACTGTCATTCAGTTATTAAAGGGAAGGCATGTTGCTAAACATCCTGCAATTCACAAGAAATGCCCACAACGAAGAATTATATGGCCCAAATGTCAAAAGCGGTAGTGCCAAGGTTGAAACACACTGCTTTTGTGTATATTTTCTACAAACAAAATTGTGTGTCTGTATATGTATATACACACATATAGATGATTCTATATATTACAAACCTATTACAGTAATATATGTGTGACATACACACACACACAATACATGCACAGTACAACAAACAAAACCAGAAAATTAATGTTAATATATTGCTACCATCTAATTTTCAAGCCCCCATTAAAATTTCACCAATAGTCCCAATAATGTTTCATAGCAAAAGGATCAATTTCAGAATCATACATT
This sequence comes from Homo sapiens, assembly GCF_000001405.40. Lineage (NCBI taxonomy): Eukaryota > Metazoa > Chordata > Mammalia > Primates > Hominidae > Homo > Homo sapiens. The sequence goes on from NC_000013.11 coordinate 91,862,832, forward strand.
GACTTTGATCGTCAGGTCTTTTTAATGCCCATTTATTAAGAAGAGATCTTTAGACCTAACTTGACCAAGATTTCTGGCCCATCTTTTCTTCTTTCTTTTTTTCCTTTGCTTTGCTTCTCCTTCCTTTCCTCCTTTCCTTTCTCCTTCTCTTTCCCCTTCCTTTTTCTCCTCCCTCTCCCTTTCCCTTCCCCCACCCCTTCTTTCTCCTTCCCTCTCCCCTCCCCTTCCTTCTCCTTTCCTCTTTCCCTTACTTTTTCCCTTTCCTTTCCTTCTGTTTTGAATGCCTCCATTTAGGTTTTCTGAGATTTCCTTGTGACTATAGTCAGGGAATGCACTTTGACAAGAATATCACAGAATGGGTGCTGCATGATTTTTTCATTGCATCCTATCAGGTGGTACATAATTTCAATGTGTCTCATTACTGATGATGCTTATTTTGACAGGTTGATCATGGTTGTAAATACTTGGCTTCTATCCTGTTATTCTCTATTTCTAGATTCTGTTATTTTACTTTATGTTGCTTCTCCTAAAGGGGAATAGGAATTTTATCTGTTTCTTTATTCTTTTTTGTTTATTCCCTCAAATAGATAGTTTTATTCCTTACTATACTTTTAGCACATAGTACCTAGTGCAAAACACTAATACATGTTGAACACTAACATTTGTTGAACAAATGTCTGAAACTGAATCTGTCCTGCTACCACAAAATTGTCTCTCTCTCACTCTCTTTCTCTCTCTATATATATTTTTTCCTATAGGGATACCATCAACTACATAGTTGTCTAAGCCAAGGTTTCCTGCTAGAACTGATTAAAGTCCATGCATCCTCATTATCCAGAGGCGGTGTTTCTCATCTACAGCTATAGTCTGAGGCTAACCATTCCTTATGGTTAATATCTGAGAGGAAGAATCATGCAGCGTGGAGATAACTGTGAAGGAATAAAAATAGAAACCCTTTTGGACACAAACCCAGCCTGGACTTCTCTCTCCCCTTTTAATGATTAATGAATGAAAAAGATTTCATCATTAGATGTAGTTAGTTTCCATTACATAAAAAGGAAGCTGATGAAATACATAATTGAGTTATATACACACATCCTGTTGGTTCTATTTCTCTGCAGAACTCTATTAAAGAAGTTATTGAGTATTATTTACATGTGCACTGATAAATATGTCTAAAGACTATGTCTGAACACATAAATTTATATCAATGATTATATTTGGTTCATTCTTATTACACTTGATTCTAATTCTTATGAAGTTGATGGTTGGTAGAATGAATGATAAAAGGAGATTCTGTCCCCTTCAGAAGTGTTTGTGTAGTTATATGCCAGAGTTTTGAAGATTGAGGGAAAGGTTGAGCTTAAGTAATTTGATGGGCAAACTCAATGCTTGAATGTAAGATAGTAGTTTTCTTTGAAAGATTTGGAGAATTTCATAATGACTTTTACTTTTGCTAATTATTGATAAATTCACATGTAAATAAGGTTTACTTAGGTAAGCTCAAGGAAATCATGCTTTGTTTCAGGCTTATTTTAAATCTGATTTTGTTTTACTGTCTTTGCTTTTACAGGAAAATAATCATTATTGTTTTTAAACGATGGAATCTATTGTGTGCTTTAGATGCAATAGAACTTTGTGAAATATTACATGTAAATAGTATATATTGTATAGAACTGGACCCATGTAGCAACTTTTGCCATATTATTTATAAGTGATAGTAATACAGTTATCTTTAGAAAAATAAACTTAGGGACTATGAGCTGTGACTAAAAATGAGCAAAAGTTGTTTAAGTTTTACTTTTAAGTAATATTAATTACCACTACAACATTAAAAGAAAGTGCTTTTCAAATTAAGGACTTGCAAAACTTTGAATAAAAATAAAACAGTCTATTTTAAAAGGAGATAGAATATCCAAAGTTTTCAAGTTAAGTAATTCTAAGCATATTCAGAAAAGGATATTCCAAACCAAAATTTTGAATGTTCAATTTTGGGATCCTGAAACTGAAGCTATGCACACATTATAGCAAACACATTTCTACAATTTGTTTTTGTCTTAATTTTCTTTCTTTTTTTTTTTTTTTTAATTTGAGACAGAGTCTTGCTCTATCACCCAGGCTGGAGTGCAGTGGTGAGATCTTGGCTCACTGCAACCTCTGCCTCCCAGGTTCAAGCGATTCTCCTGCCTCAGCCTCCAGCCTCCTGAGTAGCTGGGACTACAGGCATGTGACACCACACCCGGCTAATTTTGTATTTTTAGTAGAGACGGGGTTTCACGATATTGGCCAGGCTGGTCTTGAACTCCTGACCTCGTGGTCTGCCTGCCTTGGCCTTCCAAAATGCTGGGATTAGAGGTGTGAGCCACCGCACCTGGCCTGTTTTTGTCTTAATTTTCAAAGTAAAATGTTAATTGATTTTGTGGGATTACTTTGGCAAACATGGGAGATCCCCAAACAAATTTTGAAGAGTTTTTTTCTTTTCTGTTTTCCACTTTCTCTTAAAAAAAATGTATCTCGTGTACAAATAAATACTATGAATTAAAAATAATAATAATAAATTATGATTTTCCTTGGTGAGGATCAGTTGTCAAAGACATTGGTCTAGCTAATGCCAACTATTTGATATAAAATTCTGTAGCAGTGGAGAGGTGAAGAAGAGCTAAAGGAAGAATAAGAAAGACAACAGCATCTTTAAGAAGGTCCTCTTAAAAGGAATCACTTCTTGTTTTCTTACAAGTTAAAACCTCACTACACTAACGTCACATTTTTTTTAAACTTCTGAATTTTCTGGCACTTCAAATATCCCATGACCCCATGGCAGAAACGTCAGATAATATTTGCTACTCATTTAAACAATTTTGCTTTTCCTCTTCCTTCTTTGTTTTTCTTATTCTCTCTCCTCATTTCTCTCTTGTTCTCTCTTCCCATTTTTCTTTTTCTCTGCTTCTCCCTACCTCCTCTTGTGACTTTCTGTCTCCTCATCCCATCCCTCTACTACTTAGATGTCACATCAATTTGACTGCCCTCATATTTACAATGAATACTTTTTTTTTGAGATTGAGTTTCACTCTTGTGGCCCAGGCTTGAGTGCAATAGCACGATCTCTGCTCGCCGCAACATCTGCCTCCTGGGTTAAAGTGCTTCTCTTGCCTCAGCCTCCCAAGTAGCTGGGATTATAGGCATGTGCCACCATGTCCAGCTAATTTTGTATTTTTAGTAGAGATGGGGGTTTCTCCATGTTGGTCAGGCTGGTCTCGAACTCCCGACCTCAGCTGATCGACCCACCTCAGCCTCCCAAAGTGCTGGGATTACAGGCATGAGCTACTGTGCTCGGCCATGAATACTTTTTAAATTCATGCTTCTGAAAGTTTCAAAGAATGAAAAGGTATAAATGTCTCAAATAATAATTTGCTTGATGGTTGAAATGAATGGCATTTCTCAAAAAGGCCAAGGGATTGAATACAGAAATTTAAACAGTAAATTTCTGTTAGTGATATGGTTTGGATATTTTGTCCCCTCCAAATCTCATGTTGAAATGTGACTTCCAGTGTTGGAGGTGGGCTTAGTAAAAGGTGTTTTTTTCCCAAAGGTGGATCCCCATGAATGGTTTTGTGCTGTCCTCCTGGTAATGGGTGAGTTCTCGCTCTATGAATTCACAAGAGATCTTGTTGTTTAAAAGAGCCTGGCATCTCCCTTGCCCCTTCTCTCCTCATGTAATACTTCGGCTCCCCCTTTGCCTTAAGCCATGATTGACAGCTTCCTGGGCCTCAGGAGAAGCTGAGCAGATACTAGTGCCATATTTGTACAGCCTGCAAAACCATCAGCCAAATACTCCTCTTTTCTTTATAAATTACCCGGTCCCAGGTATTCCTTTATAGCAATGAGATGGACTAATATAGTCAGTTTTGACATTATGAACCTTTCATATTAAAATTAAATTTCTAAATTCACCCACTTATTGCGGTTGCCTTCTATCTTTTCTATAATAATGAATTTTGCATGTGACTTTAAATGTGCTTTAATAATTGATTCACTGTTTAGCTCTATTTTTGGAAACTACCAGCTTCCACTATTGAAGTAAAAGTATCATCATTGGCTGGATGTGGGGACGTGGTGGCTCAGGCCTGTAATCACAGCACTTTGGGAGGCCAAGGCGGGCAGATCACCTGAGGTTGGGAGTTTGAGACCAGCCTGACCAACATGGAGAAACCCTGTCTCTACTAAAAATACAAAGTTAGCTGGGCATGGTGGCACATGCCTGTAATCCCAGCTAGTCGGGAGGCTGAGGCAGGAGAATCACTTGAACTGGGGAGGCAGAGGTTGTGGCAAGCCGAGGTCACGCCATTGTGCTCCAGCCTGGGAAACAAGAGTGAAACTCTGTCTCAAAAAAAGAAAAAAGTATCATCATTGAGTCTCTACTGCTGAGGTAACTGTTGTCTAATTTCCCTTCAGTTCTACTGCTGTCCCAGTGGAAACAGGGAATCTTCACCACTTACATGACATGTTTGCCTGAACTCTAATCTTCTACACCTTTTGCAGAAAAGAGAGTAATGTGGCAGTCCAGGGCAGTTTACCAATTTAGAAATGGTGTCTGCTCAGTGTTTTCCTCTGTGTCACTTACTAAAACATAGAAAAGAAATCATGGACATTAAAAGGAACAGAGAGATTTAATGTGATATTTTAATTCTAAGAAAGATTTATGGACACATGAATCCTCAAATGTTATCTAAAGTGTAAAGTGTGGTTTTCAGTGTGTTTGTCCCTATCACAAAAAGACAATGCTTTCAGTTTCCTTGTGATTTAATCAAATGTTAAATCTACTAAAAAGTTGTTTCTTAGAATTAAGCCAGAGTGCTTTGTTATTGATTTAATAATGTAAATTCACGAGGGATGGATGGTTTAGAAGTTTAAGTAAGTTATCTAAATAAGGAAAATTAATTCAAAAATTTAGATATTTCTGATCAAATATTAACTTTTATTATAAATGAACGAACAATTGTATAGCATTTCAAATAAAAGGGATTTTCCCACTGGAAATGCTGTCTGATAAATATTGTTCATGTTGCTATAATATCTGTGGAAAATTCAGAATTTTCAAAAGGGGACATGGCTAAATTTCTGAGTGTGATTATCAGTAAATTGTAAGCTCTTAAATGAGCTGATTAAAGCCCTATGAGAAATATAGTTTTATAGATACAGGAAAATGGTGTGTTTAAACTGTTAAATTGAAATCATATTATTCAAGAAATTGTCTTTTTTCAAGGTCATATTGAAGAGTAGGATACAAGAGATATTGAGAAAAAGCAGCCACTAAGGAAGGAGTAAACCAAATATAAGCTATATAAGCTGTGTCATTCACTGGGGCAAAAGAATTACAAAGGAATTAGCCTTTAGTGAAGAATTTAGGAACTGGTCAACCATGTCAGAAACAGTAAGATTAGATGACAAGTAAGATGAAGCCAGAAAATGACCATATGGTTGGACAACATAAAGATTATTGGAGACTTTGGAAAGTGTCAATTTTAGAGTAATCATGTGATAGAAACCTAATCAGGGGAACTGAAAGTAATATGAGGTAAAGTATAGGAGACAAGGCTGGGCATGGTGCCTCATGCCTATAATCCCAACACTGGGAAGTCAAGATAGGAGGATTACTTGAGCCTGGGAGTTGAAGACCAGACTGGGTAATATAGCAAAAAACCCTGTCCACAAACTATTAAAAAATTAGCTGGGTCTGGTGGCACATGACTGTAATCCCAGCTACTCAGGAGGCTGACAAGGGAGGATCTCCTGAGCCTGGGAGATTGAAGCTGCAATGAACTGTGACTGTGCCACTGCACTCCAGCCTGGGTGACAGAATGAGACCTTGTCTCAAAAAAGAATTAGAGACAAGAAGTTTAGCTGAAAAAGAACACAAAAAATGAGGTAGAGGTTAGAGGGGAAGTGGGGTATTTATGTATTTATGATTGTTTATTTTATGTGGGAGATATTAATGTTCTGGTTTGTATGGTCAGGAACAGAGGAATGGGTGACATAGTACAGAGACACTATATGCAGTGGAATGGTTTCCTTAGTTATGCAAGACGGATGGGCCTAGGAGAAGAGGAACATTTCACTTTTTGAAAAAGGAGGAAAGAAATAAAGGATCAATTTGACTATACATATATGGGGTGAAATTGTCCAGCAATGGTGTTGTTTTTTGTTTTGTTTCGTTTGTTTTGTTTTGTTTTTAGATGGAGTCTTGCCCTGTTGCCCAGTCTGGAGTGCATTGGCGTGGGAGTGCCTTGGTGCAATCTTGGCTTATTACAAGCTCTGCCCCCTGGGTTCAAGTGATTCTCCTGCCTCAGCCTCCCAAGTAGCTGGGATTACAGGAACCTGCCACCACGACTGGCTAATTTTTTGTATCTTTACTAGAGATGGGATTTCACCATGTTGGCCAGGCTGGTCTCCAACTCCTGACCTCATGATCCACCCGCCTCAGCCTCCCAAAGTGCTGGGATTATAGGCGTGAACCACCTCGCCAGCAATGGTGTTTCTGACTCCTCTATAGAGATTATTAATTGTATTCTTGGACAAAGCCAGAGTCCTAAAGGAAAAATATATGTACCACACTACTGCAATATCTTCTGAAAATTACTTTTATAAATTGGGTATAACTTTATTTGCTATTGAATATATTTTTCTCTCTTCTTATTGCTGCTATTCTTTGAGTAACTTATACGTTTTCTCCTACATTATTGCTGAGATTTTAATTTTGGTACTTCTATGGCCTCTTTATCTAAACAATGAAATCCAAGTGCTTATTTGATTTCATAATGTATTAGACCGTTCTCACATTGCTATAAAGAGCTACCTGGGACTGGTAGCACTTATAAAGAAAAGAGGTTTAATTGATTCACAATTCTGCAGGCTGTACAGGAGGGATGGCTGGGGAGGCCTCAGGAAACTTATAATTGTAGCGGAAGGTGAGGGGAAGCAAGCACATCTTCACATGGTGACAGCAGAGGGAGAGAGAGCAAAGGGGGAAGTGCTACACACTTAAACAACCAGATTTCCTGAGAACTCACTGTCATGAGAACAGCAAGGGGAAAATCTACCCCCATGATACAATCACCTCCCACCAGGTCCTTCCGCTAACACTGGGGATTACAGTTCAACATAAGGCTTGGGTGGAGACACAGAGCAAAACCATATCACATAATATTAGTATAACATGACTTTGTGAGAATGATTTCTCACTTTCTTGGAGACCCTTAATTGGTAAAGACTATCCATTAAGAGTTATTTGGCCTAACACGCTCCATCAGATTCTTACATTCACCAAGGTGAATTGAAAATCTGTTTTCTCTTTTTGATACTGTTACTATTCCTGCCTCTCTAAAGATGAAGAACTCCCTTATGCACCGTAGAGTATGAAATGCTTCAAGAACAAGAGAATGGTTTGTTAGAAAAGGAGTAGATAAAATTGCCTGAACAAATGACAGCAATTCTTGTCCTGAGCCTTGATTTATCACTCCTGAGGGTTGTCTGCAAGAGTGAAGCATGGTAAGTTAATATTTAAAATATTAGAATGTAAGGAAACTCAGTCTCCCTAAGCTCTTATGAAATGATCGGAATACTTCACTTTAAGGGCTAGCCTTTATCCTTATGAATATAATTTTGATTAATTATATGCATGACTAATAAGCAGACGCCATGACACTTACAGTGCAGTTCATTTCACCTGTATTAACAGGGCACTTACCATGAGTAAAGCACCTTCAGGGAGACAATGAGTAACATCCCTCATCAACTGGAGTCTTCACGCTATAGACGCATATTCTGGAGAACTATGTAATAAAAATGTGATTAATGTGCTCAGGAAGAATTAAAAATTTATGTATTAAGCAGAAAATGCAGAATGAATTAATATAGCTCTCAGTATATTTGAGTTATTTTTTTCTGGTTTCTTGCTTAAACATTGACATGTTAGAAGAATACGGTCTTGATAAATTTATTCAAGTTGATCCGTGTTGCATTTGGAAGGAAATACAGGTTGAATATTCCTTATCTGAAATGCTTGGTACCAGAAGTGATTAGGATTTTGGATATTTTCAGAATTTGGAATATTTGCACATAGGTAATGAGATATGTTGGGGATGGGACCCAAGTCTTAACATCAAATGTATTTATGTTTCACATACACCTGATATACACAGCATAAAGGTAATTTTATTTTAGCCTTGTGGATACTGAATAGACTATGTGTTATGTGCCTGCATTTTTCCTGTAAATCATAAGAGGTTGGGTGTGGAATTTTCAACTTTTGACAGCATGTCAGTACTCAAAAGTTTCAGATTTTGGAACATTTTCAATTTTAGATATTCTGATTAAAGATATTCAACCTGTATACATTTACCTATCCCTAGCAAACTCGTACAAGAACAGAAAACCAAATACCACATGTTCTCACTTATAAGTGGGAGCTAAAGGATAAGAACCTATGAACTCAAAGAAGGAAACAGACACCGGGGTCTACTTGAGAGAGGGGTGGGAGGAGGGAGAGGAGCAGAAAAGATAACCACTGGGTACTGGGCTTAATGCCTCGGTGATGAAATGATATATACAACAAATCCCTGTGATGTATGTTTATTTATGTAACAACCCTTCACATGTACCCCCAAAATCTAAAAAAAAGGTTAAAAAAAGAGGAATATATAGCAATAGTGCATAGTACTACCTTTAAAATTAAAAAATACAGTAAATATATAACTTCTAACTTATTTGTTGACTCAGATTCACAAATTACATTGGATCCCAATGTTCTAAAATTTTAGTATATTAATTACATTGGTATTAGTACAGTCTTACATCTTCAAATTAAGTTTTTTTTTTTCAGCCACTTTGGATTAGATTTTTCATCTCTGGAATGATTTGCTTTTGGAAATAACTTCGTTTTCCTTTACACAGTAATGGAGTGAGGGAGAGAAAATGCATTGCCATGACGCTAGATTAGTGCAGAGCCTACAACTGCTTTTTTCATGACAGTAACATAAGGCTGCTTCAGGTGTGTGACTGAAAGAAAGAAAGAGTTAAAGAAGAAACGCAAAATTCTAGAAAATAAAATACATAGGTCACCGAAGGCAAAATTGCGGTGGAAAGATGAAAAGAAATGACAGTTGGTGATGGTGAACCTCTGTCTGTGAAGGGAAAACACTCTGAAAATACCAAAGCAGAGAGACTGCCAAGGTGTGGATGGAGTCCCTCATCTCTCTGGGAAAATGTCCTTCTTCTTAGAAACAGAAGAGGTAAACTAGAAGACAGTGACAGTGCCTCTTTTCCAGCTGTAAATGGCTGTTCTCATATTAATACCTCAATTGTGGTTCCAGAGTGTAGGCTAAGGAGTACAGTAGCAAAGCATATATGAGATACCCCGTGACAGGCTGACAGGGAGAAAAGAGCCCAAATAAACATCTCACTAAAGTAAGAGTACTAAGAATTTCCACAATCAGGGTTATCACTCAAGTTCAAAAAAATAAAATATAACTTATAAGAGCCTTGGAAACATTTAGGAAGAAAGACATCAAACAATAAATGAGAAGTAAGCATTCTTTTTCTTTCTTTTTAAAAATTAGCACAAAAAGGAAACATATTCATATGTTGTTAATTTTGTTTGTCAGAAAGATGGTTATAGAACCTGAAAAATTTCATTCAAAATATTATAATCAAGAAAATTAAGGTGTTAATATGTGCATCCATATGTATATAGGCACATTATATGCATATATGTTATTTATATGACATATAGGATGAATATATCAATATGAAATATAGTATTGAAGTTGACTTATTTCTCACAATAAGCATATAACATATATAGTATAACTTACCTAATGTCTATGCACATTGAAAGTGATAGAGAAGAAAACTTGATACATTTGCATATTTTATATACATCGTGCTTTATCCATATTATTAGCATATATGCAGTACAGAAAATGAAGTCAATATTAAATCTGGCAAATGATATTTGGTACTGCAGTGGTGTTTTAAAAAACACTCATGGAAGAAAGAACAAAGAAGGAAACTTAATGATGGTTTTACTTAAAAAACCAGCAAATAATTAAGAAAATAAAATGGCAAGTCATTTCAAAATATTTTATTAATCCACCATCTCTGTATTTTTGTAGTTTATCTTTCTTACACCAAAAGTGAATGCATAGATGCAGTATTTTTCTATCAGTAAATTATTGATTCATTTAAAATGTTTATTTTATAGAAAATGATATGCAATTGCCATAGAAAATGATATGCAATTGCCATAGAAAATCTAGAAAATATTGAACTGTTTTATAAGCATAAACATGTCTTCCAATCTAATCTGCAGTCTTAGTATTTTGGTATGTTTCTTTTAAGTGTTTCTGGGAAGTATTTTGCATAGTGATTAAGAGAATGGACTCTAGTCAGATTGTCTGGACTTAAAATTTCAACTCACCAAACTGGGGCAGGTTTTTTGTTTTTGTTTTTATTTTTGATAGGGTGTCACTGATATGGTTTGGCTGTGTCCCCGCCCAAATCTCATCTTGAATTGTAACCCCCCACAATTCCCACCTGTTGAGGGAGTAACCTGGTGGAAGTGATTGAATCATGGGGGCGGGCCTTTCCCGTGCTGTTCTTATGATAGTGAATAAGTCTCACAAGATCCAGTGGTTTTAAAAACGAGAGTCCCCCTGCACAAGCTCTCTTGTCGGCCGCCATGTGAGACATGGCTTTCACCTTCCCCCATGAGTGTGAGGCCTCCCCAGCCATGTGGAACTGTGAGACCTTTAAACCTCTTTTTCTGTATAAATTACCCAGTCTTGGGTGTACCTTTAACAGCAGCATCAAAATGGATTAATACAGTCACTTTGTCACCCAGGCTGGAGTGCAATGGCCCATTCTCAGCTCACTGCAACCCCTGCCTCCCAGGCTCAAGGACTCCTCCTGTTAGCCTCCTGAGTAGCTGGGACCACAGAGGCACACTACAATACCCAGCTAAATGTTTGTTTTTTGATGGAGATGAGGTTTCAACATGTTGCCCAGGCTGGTCTCAAACTCCTGAACTCAAACTATCCTCCTGCCTCAGCTTCCCAACCTGCTGGGGTCACAGGCATGATCCACATGCCCAGCCTGGGGCAAGTTATTGAATGTCTCTGGGCCTCAGTTTCCTGATCTCCGAAATGTGAATCCATATCTCCATGTTCTTGTATGAGTTAAATGAGACCAAAAATACATAGTATTTAAAGTCATGCCTGGAACATAGTAAGCACAGAATAGGTAAAGTGACTCATGTTCTGTGCCTGTGAAAGAATCTCAGTTTAGGCCTCCTGTCCTAGACTATTAATATGAAGCCCTCTTTCACTCTCAGTAGTGCCCTTGTGTGGACGATTAATTTTATAGTCACCCTGTATGTGAAAAATTGCTATTATTTTTTTCAAGGCATATGCATGGCCTTGATTTTACACGGTTGAGGTACTATTATATTAACAGTTTTAATCTTGTTTTTATCACCTTTATAGGATGTAGTCAGAATTTTCCTATTTCAATCCATTTTTTATTAATAATTTTTAACATTTGTATATGATCCCCTGGAATGAATATTCCATAATTCATGTATATGTCTATGTATATGTCTATTGTTTTTAATTTGGCCTACCAAAATAGTGCTGTGATGAACATCTATGCCCATATATTTTGACTACCCTTCTGTTGAATTTCTTACGATGGTAAATTTAAATTATTGAGACAAAAGCAATGCACATTTGTTAGGATTTTGATAATGGTGTGTATCTTAAGCCATGGAGAATTCTGAAATACAGCTTAGGCAAGAAATAAGGCAACCAAACTACCTCTGCCCAGGGTTTTGCTGAAAGTGCATTTCAGAGTTAAAATTACATAGAAACTTAGGTTGATTCTTTCATTTGACCTTTATTTGCTGAATGGCCTTTTTATCTTATGTTGGTAATGATATTCAAGTTTCTTTTCTGCTTGGTATCCCTACACCATATCCTAGCTGTCATTTTGTGCTAATTTTCCATAAATTATCTAGCAAAAACAAACCACTCAATAACAAAGGATGAATTGAGTGTATGCCCCTTTGACTTATGATTTCTGGAGCTGGAGATCTCCTGTGACTAAAGGAAAATATTCAGCACATCAGTGTGTGTCAAACATCAGTTCTGAAATTATCAGGTAATCTCAAATCTCCAAGGCTGTTGCTGTGGGTTTCAATAGATTTGCAGAGTTGTTTTAAAGGAAATAGGAAATGTCAGACTTGTGTCTCTAAGGTTTGGTCTCCTGAGTAATGGCTTGTATATGTCCTTTATTGGATGCCCTTTTGTCTACACAAAGCAGAAATATTAGGTTTGCTTGGAATCTGTGCTCTCATATTTGATTCTGATGAGGCTTGACAATTTCATATCTTTCCTTTGTTTGCATCTTCCCCGTGTAGTAACTTCTGCTTTTGTAGTTACCTTTAAAACACGTTAGGTACTTTTAAACAGGAATTAATACTTTATGGGAACACTAGATTGAGGTACGCTTAAGATGATATATTTTTGTTTTAATCAAGAGAATAAAAAATAAGAACTGAGATTTTAGAAAAGTTCAGATTGTATTGGATTTATAATTTCAAAGAGAGATACTACTTAATAGGATGTTTTGTGGTAATAAATGTGTTTATATTTCATTTCTTCATGTTATTGAACATTTTTTTCCTCCAATAACATTTCTGTTTGTTCTCCATTTCTGTTTTATAGGATTGAAACTGCCATTTCTGAAATATTTCCTTCTTTATTGTTTCTTGCAACTTTTTCTCTTCTTGAATCATATTATTTAGAATTTAAATTTGGAATATTTATTTTTAACTTCTTATTTTGAAATAATTACAGACTCAAAAAATAAATTTCAAGCAAAATACAGAGGAACTCCATGTATTTGTCACCCAGCTTCCCCCAACAATATTTTACATAGCTACAGTGCATTGTCAAAACCAGGAAATTCATATTGGCATAACACAATTAACTAGTGATGTGGTTTGGCTTTGTCTCCACCCAAGTCTCAACTTGAATTGTATCTCCCAGAATTCCCACATGTTGTGGGAGGGACCCAGGGGGAGGTAATTGAATCATTGAGGGGAGTCTTTCCTGTGCTATTCTCATGACAGTGAATAAGTCTCAGGAGATCTGATGGGTTTATCAGGGGTTTCCACTTTTGCTTCTTTTCTCATTTTTCTCTTTCCCCTGTCATGTAAGAAGTGCCTTTCACCTTCTGCTGTGATTCTGAGGCCTCCCCAGTCTTGTGGAACTGTAAGTCCACTTAAACTTCCTTTACTTCCCAGTCTTTATCAGCAGCGTGAAAACAGACTAATACAGTAAATTGGTACCAATAGAGTGGGGCATTGCTGAAGATACCCAAAAATGTGTTAGCAACTTTGGAACTGGGTAGCAGGCAGAGATTAGAACAGTTTGAAGGGCTCAGAAGAAGACAGGAAAATGTGGGAAAGTTTGGAACTTCCTAGAGGCTTGTTGAATGGCTTTGCCCAAAATGCTGGTAGCAATACAGACAGTAAAATCCAGGCTGAGGTGGTCTCAGATGAGATGAGGAAGTAGTTGGGAATTGGAACAAAGGTGACTCTTGTTATGTTATAGTGAAGAAACTGGCAGCATTTTGCCTCTGCCTAGAGATTTGTGGAACTTTGAACTTGAAAGAAATGATTTAGGGTATCTGGTGGAAAAAATTTCTAAGCAGCAAAGCATTCAAGATGTGACTCGGATGCTGTCAAAGGCATTCAGTTTTGTAAGGGAAGCAGAACATAAATGTTTGGAAAATTTGCAGCCTGATTATGCTATAGAAAAGAAAAACCCATTTTCGGGGGAGAAATTCAAGCTGGCTGGAGAAATTTGCATAAGTAGCAAGGAGCCTAATGTTAATCCCCAAGACCATGGGGAATATGTCTCCAGGCCATGTCAGAGACCTTCACAGCAGCCCCTCCCATCACAGGCCCAGAAGGCCCCAGAGGAAAAAGTAGTTTCATGGGCCAGGCCCAGGGTGCCTGTGCTATATGCAGCCTAAGGACTTGGTGCCCTGTGTCTCAGCCACTCCAGCCATGGTTGAAAGGAGCCGATGTACAGTTTGAAATGTGACTTCAGAGGGTGCAAGCCCCAAGCCTTGGCAGCTTCCAGATGTTGAGCCTGTGGGTACACAAAAGTCAAGAATTGAGGTTTGGGGACCTCTGCCTAGATTTCAGAAGATGTTTGGAAACTCCTGGATGCCCAGGCAAAAGTTTGCTGCAGGGGTGGGGCCCTCATGGAGAACCTCTGCCAGGGCAGTGTGGAAGGGAAATGTGGGATCAGAGCCCCACACAGAGTCCCTACTGGGGCACTGCCTAGTGAAGCTGTGAGAAGAGGGCTGCTGTCCTCCAGAAGAATGGTAGATCCACCGACAGTTTGCACAGTGCACCTGGAAAAGCCGCAGATATTCAATGCCAGTCTGTGAAAGCAGCCGGGAGGGAGGCTGTACCCTGTAAAGCCACAGGGGCAGAGCTGCCCAAGAGCATGGGAACCTGCCTTTTGAATCAGTGTGACCAGGATGTGAGACCAGGAGTCAAAGGAGATCATTCTGGAGCTTTAAAATTTGACTGCCCTGCTGGATTTCAGACTTGCATGGGCCCTGTAACGTCTTTGTTTTGGCCAATTTCTCCCATTTGGAATGGCTGTATTCACCCAATAACTGTACCTCCACTGTATCTAGGAAGTAACTAGTTTGCTTTTGATTACAGGCTTATAGGTGGAAGGAACTTGCCTTGTCTCAGATGAGACTTTGGACTGTGAATTTTTGGGTTAATGCTGCAATGAGTTAAGACTTTGTGGAACAGTTTGTAAAGGCATACTTGGTTTTGAAATGTGAGGACATAAGATTTGGAGGGGCCAGAGGTGGAATGATATGGTTTGGCTGTGTCCCTACCCAAATCTCATTTTGAATTGTATCTCCCAGAATTTCCACATGTTGTGGGAGGGACCCAGGGAAAGGTAATTGAATCATGGGGGCCGGTCTTTCCTGTGCTTTTCTCATGTCAGTGAATTAGTCTCATGAGATTTGATGGGTTTATCAGGAGTTTTCGCTTTTGCTTCTTCTCCCATTTTTCTCTTGCCATTGCCATGTGAGAAGTGCCTTTTGCCTCCCCCTGTGATTCTGAGGCCTCCCTAGCTATGTGGAACCGTAAGTCCAATTAAACTTCTTTTGCTTCCCAGTCGCAGGTATGTCTTTATCAGCAGCATGTAAACAGACTAATACAACTAGACTAGTTAAATGTCTGGGATTTTGGATTATTTTGAAGTAGTTTGTGTAATAATATGAGTTTTCCACAGGTAATGTTCATATAAGGAGTAATTAACCCTCATAGTTATAACACTATTTTCAATATTTTTTATTTGCTCTCCTACATATCTCCTTCATATTTATGATTGAGAAAAATGAATCATCCTAAAATGAGTACTTTTGTATTCATTCTTTTGATCAAAATAGTAGTAAGTAGTATTTGTCAAACTGCCTAACCATTGGTGATATGCAGGTATGATTTCACCTAGTACACGCAGCTACACGGAAAATTAGAACATATTACAATTATTTTATACATAAGATAATTGAGTGATATGGTTTGGCTGCGTCTCCCACCCAAATCTCATCTTGAATTGTAGTTCCCATAATCTATGTGGTTGTTCGAGGGACTTGGTGGGAGGTAATTGAATCATGGGGGTGGTTGTCCCTATGCTGCTGGTCTTGTGATAGTGAATGAGTTCTCATGAGACCAGATGGTTTTATAAGGAGCTTTTCTCTCTTTGCTCAGCCTGCCATCATGTGAAGAGGGACATGTTTGCTTCCCCTTTCCCCATGATTGTAAGTTTCCTGAGACCTCCCCAGCCATGTGGAACTGTGAGTCAGTTAAGCCTCTTTCCTTTATAAATTACCCAGTCTTGGGCAGTTCTTTATAGCAGCTTGAGAATGGACTAATACATTGAGAATCGAGAAGACATAATGAATGACCAAATCTACATTGTAATTTAGAGGCTGAAATAGGACTCAGATCAATCTCTGTGATAAACAGCCTAAGATTTCTCTCTATAATCATATTGTCTCCTACAGAAGATTTGTCTCTCTCTAATTCTTGCAACTATGCACATACCCCCCTAATGTTTTTTATATGGCACATATCACAGAGAACTTATAACTGAAGTATTAGTTTTTGAAAAAAAACTATTATCATGTACTCTCTTTTTCATATATAAATAATTATTTTTTTAAATATGATTTTAAGTTCTGGGATACATGTGCGGACGTGCAGGTTTGTTATATAGGTATACAGTACCATGGTGGTTTCTTATTTGTGTTTTCATCTTATGGCTTTGGCTAGAACTAAATAGTAAAAGTGTGCATCAGTTTAAGATAGTTATTTTTAGTCATTTTAGTAAGGACATATCTATAACTACTTTGCTAAATTTTATCGGTCATGCATGTTAAATATCATTAAATAAATATCTGGAATTGGGCTGCTGTACCAGAATACCATAGACTTTGTGGCTTATAAACAACAGAAAGGAATATCTCACAATTCCAGGGGCTGGGAAATCTAAGACCAAGGCACTAGTCAGTTTGGTGTCTGGTGAAAATCTGTGTTCTGGTTCAAAGAAGGCTGCCCTTTCTCTGTAACCTCAGTTGGGGAAGGAACAAGGGAGTTCTATGGAGCTGCTTTATAAGGTTGCTAATCCCATTAATGAGGGCTCCTCCTTCATGACCTAATTACTTCCCAAAAGCGCCATCTCCAAAAACCCTCACATTGGCGGTTAGCATTTCAACATATGAATTTGAGAGGGATATAAACACTATGTCTGTAGCAGTAAATGTACAATATAAAGTAAATAAACAGCTTTATTGTTGTGTTGAATTATATTAATATATATTTCCTGGTATTAAATCTTTCTATGCCAAATCATTGGGGTGGCTGATTTCTCAGGAAGTGTAGAATTCAGTTCCTTTTTCTTTTAGTTAAGAATATTTAAACTATGTTTATAAGAGATACTGTTTAGTAATTTTATTATTTTTATATTAACTTCATCAAGAGTTGGTAATAGTTATATTTGCTTTGTAAAATGAACTGAAAGGAAGCCCCTTCTTATAACTTTATACATATTTCATAGTTTTGGGTCCATTTTATAAGACTTTTCAAACAAATACTTACTAAAAACACTGGTTATAGGGACTTAAAATTTTTTTTAAATAAGGTTTTATGTTTCTTGCAAAAATTGATACATGCAACCTATTTAACATTTTTAAAATTAAATTAAGATTCATTTAACCAGTACATGTTTATTTTAGTGAAACACGTATTTAACTTTCTAAGATAGTGTTTTTTGTCTTTAAAACAATTGCTGTATTTTTATGTTTTTCTCTTTAAATTTTATATTTTCTTAGTGTTTGATTTTATCATATTTGCTATATTTTTCCGTATTATGGGCTATTTGTTAAAGAATGAACTCGTGTATGTTTATAAATTTTTACTGTTTTTGTTTATAATTTATTGCCTTTTAACTTAATATGTAATTAGCATTCCTTTTAATTTTGCTTGTATGTTTTGCTGTACCATTTTGAAGTTCTTGAGTTAAATTCTTAACTATTTTTTATTTTGATTTGTAAAGTTTAAATATTAAATTAAATATGTCCCATCAATTTAGTCATTTTAATATTCTCACTCGTCAGACATTTTTTGGGAACGCCATATGCCTTTTCATCAAGTCAGTTTCAAGAAAGTGAAAATTACTTTTTATATATTTATACTCAAAGCTTGGATAATTCTCCACTTCCTTAAGTTGGGGAAAAAGTGATTCTTCCAGGCTATAGTCAAAAGAGATATAATTATAGTAACATTTTTTGTTTGTTTGGGGTTTTTTGTTTGTTTGTTTGTTTGTGATGGAGTTTTGATCTTGTCCAGGCTGGAGTGCAGTGGTGTGATCTCAGCTCACTGCAACCTCCGCCTCCCGGGTTCAAGCAATTCTCCTGTCTCAGTCTCTCCAGTGGCTGGAATTACAGGCGTCCGCCACCACACAGGGCTAATTTTTGTGTTTTTAGTAGAGATGGGGTTTTGACATGTTGGCAAGGCTGGTCTGGAACTCCTGAACTCAGGTGATCTGCCCGCTTCGGCCTCCCAAAATGCGGGGATTACAGGGGTAAGCCACTGCACCCGGCCTATAGTAACTTTTTTTTAATAGGTTGTGGTGGACAAAAGTCCCCAGAAATAATAAACAGAAAAATGCATTTATTAACACTTTATATTTTATTCTCTAAACAAAAGGTGTCTCATTTTTTAAATTTAAATCATGATGGCCTGTAACAGAAGCACCTAAAAATTGAAGTAAATATATAAATTTTTAACATAAAATATTTTAACATATTTTAACACAAAATTCTTTAAGATTCTAATTTATATCTTTTTATTTCCTTCCATATACTCTCTTGATATATTACCCATTACATTAATTATTAATATACACCCAAGTCAAGATCTTTTATTATGTGAGGTCATCAGTCAATGATAACAGAGACATTGATGAATTAGTCTCCTCATCAGAAATTGAGCAGCATTTTCATTCAAGATGATACATGGGTCTTTAAAACATATTCAATAATATTGAGTCTCAGACTTCTCCTTCTTTTTTCTGAATGTGCATTTAGACCTTTATACATCTATCTATCTACCCACCCATTTATTAAATTTTCAGCATTAACTTGGAATATTAAACATGGTTCCAAGGACCAGAACCGTGTTTGTCTCGTTCACTGCCATACTCCTATTGCAGGTAGAATCTCATTAAACTCTGAGGATTCAACATAAGTGAATGTAGGTTGTAGCAGGAATAATTCTAAGGTAGCCCCTATGACCTTCATTTCCTCATGTTACTCTGTTGATACCTCACATGAAAAAGGAGTCTCGCAGATGCAACTAAGGCTAATAATCTGTCAGCCTTAAGACAGGGAGAGCATCTGGATAAACCTAATCTAATCCACAAAAACTTAAAAATCAGGGAGTTTTCTACAACTGAGAGTAGAATGGGAAGTCAGAGAGTTTCAAAGTACAAGAAGCATTTAAATCACCCTTATTGACTTTGAAGATGGTTTGCGTCTTCTTCTGAGTTCAGTTTGAGATTATCTTTCTAATAATTGATTGGATTTTATTCTTTTAAAAAAGAGATAATTTAAAGGAATCTATTTTTAAATACTCTGAGGAGGGTGATATGGGGGTGCTTGTTGTCCTGTTTTAACTTTCTCTTAATTTCTAATGTAATTGAATTTTGAATAGGTAATGTAACCTGTATGGTTTTTATTTTAAAAAATATATATTGAGGTTTTATGTAATCTATTTTTAAAATTTTCAATGGAAGCTTGAAAAAATACTGCTTCACATATTCTTGTATATAAGTATTGAAAATCTTATACATTATAATGCTCAAATTTTATACTTTAATAAGCCATAACAGAGAGACATGCTAGTGATTTCACAATTAAATGTGACATTCATTTAGTGTTTTGTTTTGTAACATTAAATATTTTATTGTTTTCCATGCGATTATTTTTCCTTTGAATTCTACTTTATGTGAAATCAATGATGTTATAAATAGTCTTTGATTTTTACTTTATTAACCTTTATACATTTTAATATTGTTAAACTTATAGGAACAGTTTGTACACTTCCTGGAAATAGAATAGGGTAATAGAGTTTGATTTTTTTTTTCTTTTCAGCTGAGGTTTTTTGTTTGTTTGTTTTTTGGGTTTTTTTTTTTTTTTTTTTCGTAATTTCAGTCTTAGAGTCTTTCTTTTAAGTAGTTAGTGGTATAGTTCATCTTTGTTTATCAAAGCTGATTTTTTTTTGTTTTAACTTTTGTGAACTTGCTTATAGTTTCTTTATAAATATTAGGCTGGTGCAAAAGTTATTGCAGTTTTTGCTAATTATGTGTTTTTTAAAAGGTGGTACATACAAATAAATAAATCAGGAAAGGAAGCTAGAGATTGGTGGCAGTAGAGGTGAGTCAGTGTTACAGTTACTATTGCTGCTTAAGAAACTACCCAAATTTAATAAGGTAAAACAGCAACCACTTCATTATATCTCATGGATTCTATAGGTAAGAAATTCCAGCAGGATTCATCTGAGTGATTCTCCTTCTCTCACATCATTAACTAGGGTGACTCAGTGCTAGTCAGCTGGCAAACAAGCCAGTCTGGAAGGTGCAAGGTGCTTCTTTCTGTCTTATAAATTGGTGGGGTTGTCTGGAAGGCAAGGCTCAGATGGGAGGGACTCTTAGTTATAGTCCTGCACACAGTAAACTTCTTATATGGTTGCTGACTTTCCACAGATCAAACATTCCAAGGGAACCAGGTGGAAAATGCCTGCTCTCTTATTATCTAACCTTAAAGGTCAGATAGAATTACTTGTCATACTCTATTGATTGTAGCAGTCACAAGCATGTCCAGATTCAGGGGAAGGAGACCTAGACCTATTTTTTGACGAGAAGAATATCAACCTGTTTTTGGACTATGCTTAAAACTGTCACACATGACAATTACACATCAGGTAGAAGGCATTTGAGGAGAGACTTGAAGGAAATGTGGAAGAATCATGCTCTGCTGAAAAAAGAGCATTCCAAAGAGAGAACACAGCTTGGGCAAAAGCCCTGAGTCAGAAACATGTGGACTTATTCTTAGAACAGCATCGGGGAAGCCATTATAGCTGAAGCAGAGTGAGGAAGGGGAAGAGTATTAATAGATGATGGCAGAGAAATAAGCATGAAAAGACAGATTATGGAACGAGGGCCTTGTATGCCATTTTAAGGACTTTGACTGTTCCTCAAACTGGCATGGGACCATTGAAAGATTTTTTTTATTTTTATTTTTTAAATTTAACTTTTAAGTTCAGTGGTACGTGTGCAGGTTTGTTATGTAGGTAAACTCGTGTCATGGGGGTTTGTTGTACGGATTATTCCATTACCCACATAGTAAACCTGTTACCCACTAGTTGTTTTTCCTGATCCTCTCCCTCCTCCCAGCTTTCACCCCCCTTTTCAAAAGTAGACATACATGTAACCAACAAACATATGAAAAAAATGCTCAATATCAGTGATCATTAAAGAAACGCAAATCAAAACTACAGTGAGTTACCATCTCACACCATTCAGAATGGTTATTACTAAAAAGTCAAAAAATAACAGATGCTGGTAATGTGGAGAAAAAGGAACACTTCTACACTGTTGGTGGGAGTGTAAATTAGTTCGACCACTGTGGAAGACAGTGTGGTGGTTCATCAAAGACCTAAAAAGAGAACTACCATTCCAACCAGCAATCTCATTACTGGGTATATATACTCAAAGGAATAGAAATTGTTCTGTCATAAAGAAACATGCATGCCTATGTTTATTGCAGCACTATTCACAGTAGCAAAGGCATGGAATCAACATAAATGCCCATCAATGGTATACTGGATAAAGAAAATGTGGTACATATACACCATGGCATATTATGCAGCCATAAAAAGTGAGATCATGCCCTTTGTAGGAACATGGATGGAGCTGGAAGCCATTATCCTTAGCAAACTAATGCAGGAACAGAAAATCAAATACTGCATGTTCTCACTTATAAGTGGGAGTCAAAGATGAGAATACATGAACACAGACGGGAACAACATTGAAAGATTTTAAGCAGAGAAGTGATATGATCTGAATTGTATTTCTGAGATCTCTCTGGCACTTGTGTAATAAATAGCTGAAAGGAATCAATGGCAGAAGCTGGGAGACCAGTTAAGAGGCCTTTGCAATAATCACAAGAGGAAATAAGTGCGGCTTACACTAGGAACCGTCAAGTTAGAAGTGCTCATATTCAAATGTGGTCAGAATCTGGACATTTTGAGTAAGCCTACAAAAATTTTTAATACTATCTCAAAATAAAGGATATGGAAAGTTTTTCCTTTCTCTTGCCCTGAAACCTTCTGTATCCTTTATTTTGAGATAGTATTAAAATCCTTTCTATCTTACTGACAAGTCTTACTATCTTGTTTTATAACCCAGGACATGATTATAATTATAGTATTGTTAAATATTTATTTTTATTTTGTAATTATACTTTAACAATACTATTGTGGTAAATAATCATAAAATATGAAAAATAAATCTTCCAATTAACTGAATCGATTGTCCCCTTGCAGGATTTTGGCTTCACAGTTTCCTAATGCTTGAAACATTAATGTTGATTATTTTTCTAATATGTACCCATATGCCTTTGTGTACATTTTTATTGGAAGGACAAATCAGTAATGGATATACCGTCTCTTTGTATTTGGGTAAAGGCAACCTGATACTGATGATTTTCTTGATTATATTCTTATTCTCTTAAAATCTTTATGTCTTCTAATAATGTTAACAGAGAAGAAGAAAAGTCTTATCTAAGCCTAACATTTTAGTTTTAAGGAAGTTTTTTTTCTTTATTTGTAAAATTCAGGAGTTTGGCTAGTTGCTATTTAAATATGGAGTACCTTTCCTTGTTTCTTCCCCCTCCCCGACTAGAATCTGGTTGGTGCTTTTGCTGTTCATCATTCAGTGATAGCTTTGATCATTGTTTCAGATCTCATTGCCCTTGCATCTTTTCCCAATACACAAACCATTCTCGAGGTGAAAACTGTGGTCTCTGGCATACCCATCTGCCTGCTTCTCTGTCATTAGTTCATCTCTTTCTTTGCCCTCCAGAGCCCTGATTCAATTACTGCTTGAACTTTTCAGTGTGTCAGTTTCCTTCTCCATGGATTTCCCTGTGGATGGCAAATCTGCCCTTACACTTTAGTTTTCATAGAAGCCTCATCTCAGCTATCTCCCATTTTGTGATTTGAGCCTCTTTTGTCATTGTAGCCTTCATCTCCTATTTCCTAAATGCCATGTGTTTCTACATACTGTTCATAGACAAATAGTTTAAAGCAATGTTCTATAGTTTCTTATGGTTTGAAAGTCATATATTTTTAAATATGTTTTCACCCCTGAGACTTCAGCATGGAGGTTCCTTTTTCTTGTATACAGGATCATTTTTTAGGATTTTTTTCTGTTATATTTTCCCCATTCTGTTTACCTAGAAGGTAGTGATATTTACCCCAAACCAGGGTTTGAGATTGCGTTAGTCTATTTTCATACTGCTATAAAGAAATACCTGGGACTGGGTAATTTATAAAGAAAAAAAGGTTTAATGGACTCCTAGTTCCACATGGCTGGGGAGGCCTCAAAGTCATGGCAGAAGGCAAAGTAGGAGCAAAGAAATGTCTTACATGGTGGCGGGCAAGAGAGACAGCATGTGCAGGGGAACTCCCCTTTATGAAACCATCAGATCTTGTGAGACTTATTCACTATCATGAGAACAGCATAGGGAAAAACCCATCCCCATGATTCAATTACCCTCCCACTGGGCCTCTCCCATGACATGTGGGGATTATGGGAACTATAATTCAAGATGAGATTTGGGTAGGAACATAGCCAAACCATATCATTCTTCCCATGGCACCTCCTGAATCTCATGTTTTCACATTTCAAAATCAATCATGTCTTCCCAACGTCCCCCAAAGTCTTAACTCATTTCAGCATTAATTGAAAAGTCTACAGTCCAAAGTCTCATCTGAGACAAGTCCCTTCCACCTATAAGCCTGTAAAACTGAAAGCAAGTTAGTTTATTTCTACATACAATGGGGTTACAGGCATTGGGTACTCCCAAGGTATTTACGCCTGTTCCAAATGGGAGAAATTGGTCGAAACGAAGGGGCTACAGGCTCCATGCAAGTCTGAAATCCAATAGAGCAGTCATTAAATGTTAGAGTTCAAAAATGATCTCCTTTGGCTTTATGTCTTACATGCAAGTCACAGTGATCCAAGTGGTGATCTTCCACAGCCTTGGTCAGCTCTCCCCCTGTGGGTTTGCAGGGTACAGCCTCCCTCCTGGCTGCTTTTACTGGCTGGCATTGTTTGTGGCTTTTCCAGGTAAACAGTGTAAGCTGTTGGTGGATCTACTGTTCTAGGGTCTGGAGGATGGTGGCCCTCTTCTCACAGCTTCACTAGGCAGCGCCCCAGTAAGGATTCTGTGTGGGGGACAGAGCCCACATTTCCCTTCTTTACTACCCTAGCAGAGGTTCCTCATGAGCCCCTGTGCCCCCCAACAGCAAACTTCTGCCTGGACATCCAGGTGTTTCCATACATTCTCTGAAATCTAGGTGGAGGTCCCCAAACCTCAATTCTTGACTTCTGTGCACCTGCAGGCTCAACATCATGTGGAAACTGCCAAGGCTTGAGGCTTTCAACCTCCAAAGACATGGTTTGAGCTGTACCCTGGTGTCTCCCACCCAAGCCATGGGTGGAGCGGCTGCAATGCAGGGCACCAAGTCTCTAGGCTGCACACAGCAGGGGCACCTGCACCTGGCCCAGGAAAACATTTTTTCCTCCTAGGCTTTTGAGCCGGTGATGGAAAGAGCTGCTGTGAAGGTGTGAAGGTCTAACATGTCCTGGAGACATTTTCTCATTGTCCTGGTGATTAACATTTGGATCCTTGGATCCTTGTTATTTATGCAAATTTCTGCAGCTGGCTTTAATTTCTCCCCAGAAAGTGGATTTTCTTTTCTCTTGCATTGTGACGCTGCAAATTTTCCAAACCTTTATGCTCTGCTTCCTCTTGAACACTTTGCCACTTAGAAATTTCTTTCACCAGATACCCTAAATCATCTCTCTCAAGTTCAAATTTCCATAGATCTCTGGGGCAAGAGCAAAATGCCACCAGTCTTTTTGCTAAAGCATAGCAAGAGTCACCTTTGGTCTACTTCCCAACAAGCTCCTCATCTCCATCTCCAGCCTGGACATCAGTGTTTACATCACTATCAGCATTTTGGTCAAAGCCATTCAACATGTCTCTAGGAAGTTCCAAAATTTTCTACATCTTCTTGTCTTCTGAGCTGTCCAAGTCTCTAGGAAGTTCCAAACTTTCCCACATTTTTCTGTCTTCTTCTGAACCCTCCAAACTGTTACAACCTCTGCTTGTTACCCAGTTTCAAAGTCGCTGCCACATTTTTGGGTATGTTAATGGCAGTACCCTACTCTACCAGTACCAATTACTGTCTTCGTGCATTTTTGTACTGCTATGAAGAAATATGCGAGAATGAGTAATTTACAGAGAAAAAGAGGTTTAATGGATACACAGTTCCACATAGCTGGGGAGGCCTCACAATCATGGCAGAAGATGTAGGAGGAGCAAGGGCATGTCTCATATGGTGGCAGGCAAGAGTGTGCAGGGGAACTGCCCTTTTTAAAACCATCAGACCTTGTGAAACTTATTCACGATCACAAGAACAGCACATGGAAAAACCCACTCCCATGATTCAATTACCTCCTACTGGGTTCCTCCCAGGACACGTGGGGATTATGGGAGCTACAATTCAAGACGAAATTTGGGTGGGGACACAGCCAAACCATGTCATTAATATCTAACAGGAAGTGATCATTTTTGTAAATTAGTTTATTATTCTACCTTTGAGGAATTGCCTGAGGCCTTTTCTCTGATCTGTGGTGGAGATAAGGTTGATACGCACAGCTTCTCTCAGTTGTGAGCGAGTATTTATTGGAATAGCTCTGCTAAGGTAAAGTGGAGACTTCTAGTATCTTGTCTGGCTTATTGTACAAGACATACACAATACCTAGCATGCACATATAATGCAGGGTGCTGGCGGTGGCAAGAATGAGTGCTGGTTTACAGATTATTCATGTTACTGCTTTCTGGGTAGAGTTTCTAAAGGAAGGCTGTATTTTACTCAGAAAATAATCTTAAATGGCCCGTTGGTATGATGCAAGTTGCTTATCAGTAGTTTCCTGTTTTGCTTTATAATCCTTCTCAATAGAGAAGGATTCCTCAATAGAGAAGGAATATTGAGAACAATATTCCTCAAACTTATTAAAATCCCATTGTATGAAATAACAATGTAACATAGGGAGGGAAGGAAAGAAAAGAGGCTGAGTTCATGCTTGGAGGGAAACAAGAAGGGAGAGAAGAATGTCAGAAAGGTCATGTGGCTGAGACCTGGGCCGCTGGAGTTATGAATTGCTAGACTGGCAATTTGTAATTGGCAAATTCTACTGCCTCGCCTCCCAGGGCTTTTCTTGAGTGAACTGTGTGCCCAGGCCAGACAGGCACCTGATACATCTATTTGTTTGTTTGTTTTTATTGTATCTTCTATCTTCTAAGGAGCTTAGTATGTAAGATACTTTGTACCTGGCCCCTCAAATAGTAAGAATGGAGCTGTAAAGGAATAAGTGCCCATTTTCTGGGACACTCCAAGAGTCTGACTCAGGGGACAGGCTGGGGAGAGGTAACTACCATCTTACATGATTTTCATATTGAGGAAATTATTTCATTTCATAAAATAAACTATGGATGGGACAGTTTAACTTAATTGTTCTTATAGTTAGTAAAATTTCCTACTAGATTAGTCTGCATATTGGGTGTCAGTTTTAGTAATTAGTGTTGTTTTAAGTTTACATTGTTTGCTTTGTTTTACTGATTTTTTTTTTCTTTTTTAATTGGAACTTGGATGGGACTCCATTACAAAGTATCATCCAGATGCTGTTCAAAATTGGGCCAAATCAGCATTAAAATGAAATTACACATTCATGGGATTTGTTACTAGAGTTGGTACTGTTTTGGAATGATTCATATAACATTTATAAGGACCAATTCTGAGAAAGATAAATCATCGCTATAAATAATTTTTTAGATTACTTTAGTATCAGTCATATATTCACGCACATAACAAATATGCATTGAGCTTGTATAGTTCAAGGAATTTGCCAAGCCCTGGAACTAGAGGATGATTAAAACAGACATACTACTTGACCTCAACAAAAGTACAGTCAAGAAGGAAGTTACAAGCATTAAGCAAATGATTGCACAATTCATACTTAATTACAACAATGATAAGTGCATCCTGGAAAATAAAATGTTATCAATCAATAGGTGCAAGGTGTCAACCTAAATAACAAACAGAGAGAAATTCTCTAATAGAACACTGGATTGGGGATAGGGTATTTCAGTAGGAATATATGTGCCATAGTCAACTATGTGTGCATTCAGGGAGGTAAAGGAAGACAAAGGTATTCAAAGAAAAAATGTGGAGGATTACACAATTGTTTTGACATAGTTATCCTTGATTACAAGGATCAATAACAGGGGTGGTGCCATTCCAAGGTTGGACAGGACATATGTCCTTGCAGAAGTGTTCTTTTGCGTAAGGTTGCAATGGTAAGATTGTGGTTTTTGCAGTCTTTCGTGGTAGTTCTTGTTATCAGGCATATATGCATGAGAATTCCCCCTTCATGGCCTTCTCCAGCTGCATTTGGCAGGCTCTATTTTTATTTCTAAAATAAATGACTCTATTTTAATCCTGAAAAATTTCACATTTTTCTACTTTGATCAAGATCTTTCCCTAAAAGTGTCACCGCTCAGTCATCCTGCAGTAAGGTTTCAGTTGTCTCTCAGTGCTGGGATGAGTCTGTCTTGGGTTGTTGGTC
Source organism: Homo sapiens (assembly GCF_000001405.40). NCBI lineage: Eukaryota > Metazoa > Chordata > Mammalia > Primates > Hominidae > Homo > Homo sapiens. The sequence goes on from NC_000013.11 coordinate 91,890,467, forward strand.
TGATCTCACATTGGGGGCAGTAAATGGTTACTAGGGGTCAGTGTTAAAACTCTTTTAGCTATATTTGAGCAACAAGGGAAGTTTGTAGTGAGTGGCACTCAGGCTTCCTGGAGTCCATTACTAAGTTCAATTTTGTTTGTTTTGTAGTCTTTGGCTATCATTTAAAATTGCTGGGCCAGCATTATTCTGTTAGGAGTTGTCCTGCAGTAATTCAACAAGTAACAGATACAAAGTTTTAAAAGGTAAAATACAAAGCAAAATTAATGGTAATATTATAATCTCAGTTTGCATAATAGTTTTGAGTCATTAGTCTTAAACTAATTGATAAATCAAATGATTTTTATCCTGTCATGCAAAAAAGAAGGCATTAAGAGGAGTAGAAGTCTCATTGTGATTTGGAGTTTTGTATCAGCATCTTGGGAAAAGCTATCTACAGTGTGTACACATCAATTTCTTATCCTAGTTTGCACTTTGAATGTCTCTGGTTATGGCATCAAGCAGTTTGGTGCAATTTTGTGTGGCCCATATACCAGGTATGAAATTTCCTTTTAAAAATTAATCTAATTTCAACTTACAGGGTATCAAGAACAGAGCTGTTCCCATTTTTGGTAATTCTGTGGAAGAAAGCTAGATTGGAGGAATCTAAAATAATTCAGTATCTAATCTGGTCTATAGGTAGATAACAAGAACTTGAATATACTTACAGAGCTACAATCTAATAACAGATGTATTAAAGATTTTTTTTAGAAACAACTTTTTCTGTCTACATTGATCACATAAGAATCTCATATTTAAAAACCTCTTGAGCCTAGGAAGCTTCGCCAAGGCAGATTTTATGTGCTGTCTTAATGTTCCTAGGCTTGCCAGGAAGTGACAGTTTTTACTTACTCACTGTAAGGCTGGGAACCTTTGAAGGCAGATGTTCTTTGCATGTTCTTGTATATTATGTTCTGTTTAAAGCCTTGGTAATACAACCAATGTTTTCGATTGTATCCTTCTATAAAGAGATAGCAAATTTTTATTGAATTTATGCAAATAACCATACGGCCACAAAAAATGACAAATGCTCATGAATAGTTTCTGCATTTGGGGGGATCAAGTAGGGAGAAAAAACAAATATTTCCACCTTTGTTCATAAAAAGTATGTTGTGCCAAATTGCTATACACTACCAAAAGCTTATGAGAGAAAATGTCCATAAATCTGGAGAATTAAGTAAGAATCAACAACGTTTCAAATAAGTCATAAAACATTATTTTCATCAGTTACTTTATCTCATGTGGTTAAATTTTGTTCAGCTTGACCTTGATTTGCAGTTTCATGAATTCATCAGTTTCTTCATTACAGTTTAGTGTTTTATTTAGCTCATTTATCTTAAAGTTATTCGAAACTTCCATTTAAGACTGCTTATTAGAGTATTTTCCATGAATCTGATTGCAGATGCCTCAAGAGAATTCAAAACAAAACTGTGGGTGACAAAAACTTAGAACAACTATGGATAAAAATATAGTAAAAGTTTATAATTGACAAGGAAATTTAGCTATTTAACAACCCAAATCATGACTGATAGCATCACATCAGGACTATCAGACTTTTATAAATTTCACATAATCTTTAGAATACTCACATTGATAATGTAGCCACAATATAGCTATAAACAAGAGTTAACACAACAAAAAATATGACTGGTGACATATTACATTCTTATTAATTTATATAATTTTTGAAACAATAACATATCTAGTCATTTTACTTCAGGACAAACATTGACCACATAGTATTTTTTCTCATAAAAATGTATTCTCTTTTCTTTTCAACTCTTCTTACCAAAAATACATTTTCATACCCATAACTTTCTTCACATTTTTCTCTCCTACTTACTTGTTCCTTTTTACCATGTTTTTGTATTTTTCCAAATTTTTATTTAGAAACAACCTTTAAATAAACTCCAAATTAGAAAAAATATTCTTTTTCTCAATAAAGAACACTTTTATGCTTTTCTTACATTTTTCATTAAAAACATTTCATTTTTGATACACTTTATATACAAAATTATGTATATTAATTGTTATTTTACTTTTTAGTAACACTAATTTTTAGTGAAAGCCTACTAAGCAAGCAATCTTTAACTCTGTTACAAATTAGTATTTTGTAGATAAAAATTATTATATAATTTTAGAAACATGATTCCAAAGAATGTAACTTGTTATGTCTTAATAGACCCAAATATATTTAGACTTTCTATAAAATATAGGAAGCCAGTAACAAAATTATATTTATGTTTAGCAATTTATGTTTCAGTTTTGTATCTTATTCGAAAGTGACCCTGACATTTAGTGAGTATCTGTCACTTAATTCAACACAACAAAACTTTAAGATTTTAAATTAAACAAAAAGTTTATTCACAAACATTTATCTTTTTTATATTTACCTGATTTATTTATCTTTAACAATTATAACTAGCTACTTATGAAAACTAAGATATTAGATAAAATGAGTCATCATTTGAAGTTTTTTCTCTGTTAACCATTTTTATAGCCTGTGAATGTCAAGTGTTTTCCTAAATAAGAGACTTGAAGATATTTGCGTGGACATTTTGTTGATAACTCATAAGATGTAGCTGTTTTTATTAAACAAGCAATATTAAATTACTCTCACATATCAAAGATTTACACAAACAAAGATCATTCTGTTTCTAGGCAGATTTGATAGTTTTATAAACTTTGCGTCAAATCCTAACACCTTGAAACATCTAGCAGAGACAAATATAATCCTGTCTGACCAGTAAACCATAGAAAAAAATGTATGCCAATGACTTTGTATTTTTGTATTTTTATTTGTATTTTTATTTCTTCACCAAATGTAAAACCAACTTATTTATTAAAGATTTACTTAAGCCATGTGAACTAAAAGGCATTTAGGTTTATCACTATATATTTTATATGAGCAGGCATCTGTCTAAATCAATCTGAAGAGAATTTTTAAAGGGATTTCTGGCCCTCTACTCCAGATTTTATCATGTAGACACAACATATACCATAAAACATGTGCATGTGTATGAACATACCTAAGCCACATACATACACAACTAAAGATCTTATAGCTTTCATTCTAGAATTTTGGTCATAAGATAGTAATACTAATTTATAAAAGACAGTTGGTTCCAAATTATGTATCTGACAAAATAGGACCTGTTTACATGACTAAATTCTATGACCCCTATAGATAGTCTTACAATGTCTGTGGACCAACATTTTAGATACAACTTATTTTTGAATCTCATTTACCCTTTCTCCCCTACCTCCTTTTTTTTCATTTTCAAGTGAGTTTAGGGTTATATATTCCATTGTTTACATTTTAGCTAGGAATAGCGTAATTGTGTAAGAAAAACAAAATCCCCGTGTGGCCTTGAAATCTATCATTCTTTGCTGGTCTATTTTACTTAACTAGTCTATGAGGGCAAGAAAGCATTTTACCAGGTTTTTTTTTTTTCCAGTTTTTTTCTGGCCCCTGCATGGCATACAAAGCAATTTTTATGTTGGATATAAATATATTATTGCTCTGAGATCAAGATTTTGTCCTTTTTGATTTAAGTGCCTAACTTTTATAAACACTTATTTAGATATTTTTCTTTTAGAAATCTATTATTCAATTATCTGTTCCATCACCCTAAGCAATTGTCAGACAAATGTAAATGTACATTTCCAGAAGGTGTCTAACTTGCTGGTTGTCATGGAGCTATGATAATTTGTAAAACCATCCATTTGGTAGCCCTTCAGGACTTTGTTTGTTTGTTTGTTTGTTTGTTTTTTAATCTTGGCTTGCATGCCATAACCAGTGAATTTTATTTCAACACTTGCAGTAAAGTCAGTAGATTCAAAGTAGGTAGGAAAAAATTAGAGAACTTTGAAGGTTCTACATGTTAAGTGTATGGTTGCAGTCTCTTAATTTTGTACTAAGCAAAAACAAGCTTGGAGATTTCCCCATGATGACCATTGATCCAACAACATACGAGGAAAAGCCATGTATCTGGCTGGAGTCCCAGAAAGCTTGGCATGCCTTACTATTTAAGAATCCCATTCCATTTTTTATAAATCTCTCGAGAGCAAAGACAATCCTATAAATCTTGTCAAGGAAGGTCATAAGTTTGGATTGGCATTTTAGATGGTTGTGACTTCCTTAGTGATTTTTAATTAGTCATTCTGCACCCACCATTTAGAATGTTTTGTTTTGTTCTCAGAAGATTTACAGAAACAAGCAGGGGGAAAGAACCAATCATTTGCAGACATCCATCACTAATAAAATGAAACCCAAATCAGAGTGTGTACAAAAATTTTAACCCAGGTGTGCAGATCAAACAAAATATTAAATTAGGCATGCAAAAATAACAAGGGTAAATTCACCAGCAAGACATGTCTCAGAGACGGAATGTTAATTTTGCAGAAACTAGAGTACTGAAGCCAGAAGGACAGTTGTCTTTAAACCAGAAAGCAATTGCCAGGAAAGATAAAAAGTCTTTTATCATCCTAGGAGGGATGTTAAGATGTTTTATCGAAGCTGGCCTTCTAACCAAACCAAATCCCTAACTTAAAAAAAAAAAAAAAGGCCTCTACAAAAAAGAGAGAAGGTCCGCCTGAGTGAAGACTCAGCAGGGCAGGAAAGGCGAGCATGGAAGCAGAGCTCTCAAGGGGCTCAGGTGGTTCCCACATGCTGGTTCCTAGAACTGCCAATTCCTTCTGGAAGTGATCTGGCTTCAGATCCCACTTCTGGACACCATTTATGACAAGCTTTAGAGAGAGGGTCTCTAATATAAAATAATGTTTATTTGGGGATAGGGCATTGCCTTGGGAATACATGTGCCACAGTGAACTGTGTGTGTATATACAGGAATTAAAGGAAGACAATGGCTTATAAAGAAAAAATGAGGAAGACTATGTAATTGTTTTGAGATAATTACCCTTGACTACAAGGTGCTGAGGTTGGACAAGCAGTCTCTGGGCAGATATTCTCACAGAAATGTTTTTTTGTGTAAGGCTACAAAGACCTTTTTGCAAGCTTGTAGTTTTTGTAGTCATTTCTGATGGTTCTTATTACCAGGCATACTTGCATGAGAACCATCCCTTTTGGCCTTCCCGGCTCTGTTGTCAGGTTTTATCTTTTTCTCTCTTTCTTTCTTTTTTTTTTTTTCTTTAACATGACTTTAAAGCTGCTCCATTTCAATTCTGACAAACTGCACAAATGAGAGCAAGTAACCTAGAAAGGATGCTCCAGTTTGGGGGTGGTATTAGTTTTCTGTGGCTGCTAGGACAAACGATCATGAACGGAGTGATTTCAATCTACAGGAATTTGTTCTCTTACTGTTGTGGAGATCAGAAATCTGAAATCAGTGTAATTGGGCCGAAATTAAAGTGTCTGTAAAACCAAGCTCCCTCTAATGGTTCTAGGAGATAATCTATTTCTCACCTCTTTGAGCTCTGGCATTCCTGGGCTTGTGGCAGCATCACTCCAATCTCTGCCTCCGTGGTCCCATTGTCTTCTCCATTTCTGTCTGTAAAAAATGACCTCTGCCTCAGCCTTACAGGAACACATGTGATTGTATTTAGGGCCTGCCCAGATAATCTTGGATAATCCCCCCATTTAAAATTTTTTCTAATTTTTTTTTTTTTTTTTTTTGAGGCAGAGTCTCGCTCTATCATCCAGGCTGGAGTGCAGTGGCACAATCTCAGCTCACTGCAACCTCCACCTCCCGGGTTCAAGCAATTCTCCTGCCTCAGGCTCCTGAGTAGTTGGGACTACAGGCACGTGCCACCAAGGCCTGCTAACTTTTTGTATTTTTAGTAGAAATGGAGTTTCACCGTGTTAGCCAGGATGGTCTGAATCTCCTGACCTCGTTATCCAGCCACCTCCGCCTCCCAAAGTGTTGGGATTACAGGCATGAGCCACCGCACTGGCCCCCTATTTTAAGACCCTTAATTTAATCACATCTGTAAACCCCCTTTGTAAGCTTAGTACAGATGACTGAGGAAAGGTTCCGAAGGGATAGAACTTTCCAGACATGGGGGACAGAGTATGTAAACACTGACGGACCTGGCAGAAATCATGAAAGGACTGAGAAAGGAGAACGGGGGAAGTATGAAGGATGAAGGGGAGATTGGCCAAATGTCTCTGTAGGTGTGGAATCTCTAGGTCATCTAGACCGGAAACTTCCATTCTATTTAGACTCCAGAGGTCTTCTGAAATCCTGTATATGCACATTTTTCCTATACTGAGTCAGCCAAATATGTTTGTTAGTAATTACCACTATTAGGAATCTAAAAGTCCCTAGGCACATGTAGTTTTATGGAACCAAGTCCTGCTGTTTTCTGTGTAACTGAGTTTGCCAAGACATAGCTGGAGGAGCAATTTTCTCATATATACAAGCGAACACAAATTAATTTCTGTTACATACGTAGATTGTTGTCTGAGGACTGCTTGATAGTAGGAATTTGGCTGTAGTGTAGTTAAAGTGAGGCAAGAACAGGAATCCCAGTTATTTTCCCAACTCCTCCTCTTCCTCTTCTTCTTCCTCCTCCTCTTCTTCCTCCCCCTCCTCCTCCTTTTTCATCAAATACTTTAAAATATATAAATTTTTATTTTATGATTCCACAGACCATAAAATGGAACTGTTGGACAGGACTTTAAGTTGGAATAGAGACAAGATTGAAACTGTGTTATGCTCAAATTCCAATATTTTTTTAAAATAGTAATTACTACAGGGTTGTTTTCATTAAGAAAAAGTTATTTACAAATCTTTTCAAACTTCATATTTTTTCCACAGGCCCAGGAACACAGCTTTTTTGCTATTCAAAGTAGAAGTAAATATAGAGAATGCTGTGTGTGTGTGTGTGTGTGTGTGTGTGTGTGTGCGCCTGTGCATGTGTATGCATTTCTTTTTAAAATTTATTTAGTCCTTATGTTAATAATATGCCTGGCACTTAAGAATCCTAAGTAATTTGTTTGGTAAAGTCAGAAAGAAGAGCAGTCAGAGAGGTGTTCATAATGAAAGCTACAAAAATCAGCTTTTGACTTGTTGGATAGGCTCCCATCCCTGATTCAAAAATACCTGGACCACATATCAAGGCCATCCAATTCATAGAGCGTTGGTGATGGGCCTGACTTAAAGTCTGAAAATTACATCTGTAAAACTGTGTTCTCTATAAAAATATGCACATTTGCCAAAGTGAAGAAAGGAAAAAAATTCCATTAAATGTAGGTTCAATAAATGTATTAGAAAACATTTAATTAACTATCTCTCTGTTAAAACACATCTCGTGACTGCTGTTCCCACTCTCATTGGTGTTTATCTGCTGGTAAAGTGCTCCCCCATATTTCTATTTGCTGTGTGGTGCAGTGCGACCACACAGTTCAGACACAACCTCTGCTTTGTGATTTACCTCAACACTTTAACTGTGAGCTTCTTTTTTTACTGTACTTCAGTGTATTTCCCAGAAAATATATTCTCTATGAGGGATAAAATAAAATATCAATTAGAAACAAACAAAAACAATTCAGAGAGATATTAACCATTCAGTCTTCTAAGTTATCAAAGATTATATTCTTCACCAAGTCATATAACCAGGTCCCAGTAAAATACCATCATGCAGGCAATTTAACATCATGTAATTTAAAATACCATCATGCAGGCAGCTTTCAACAAAGCATCCTATAAGAAAAGATTATTTGTACTTACATCTTTAAAAGTTTTGAAATTGCTGTTGAAGATTGTTTTATTATATTGTCCATTGTCTGTTGCTTAAAGACTTATAAATTTTGCTTAAGAGTTTAGAGTTACCAAAAAATAGCTGCTGACAATATGCAGATACTATTTTATTAACTAATGACACATATTTGCATTCTGGTTTTCCTTTTGGCCTTCAGTAACAAGAGGCTTAGGACTAAATATTAGGCTGAAGGGTAGTGTTTCCTTCCCTAGGTCTTCGCGTATAATTGTCACCTCCTCCTTTTCATTATTCTGTCATTTTGCCCTTGTTTTATAGTGCTTGTGCCTTTTATTCTAAGCGGTCTCAAAGGCTTTTCTGGAAATACACAGTGTATAAGTACAAAATGATGAAATAAACATACTTCTTTATTTTGTTTTAAAAGATGCTTGGGTGGGACTAGATGACCTCTAAGATCCTTTCCAGCTCTAAATTTATGTTACTGTCACCAAAGACAGACAAAAAAAAAATCTATTAGGTTATAGGCCTAAAGATGAATGCCAAGTACTATATTCCTGCTCTAGGTGTATTTCTTGTTGAAGGCAGTGCTAGATTCTGTGACCTGTTACGGCCCCTTACATTCTTATGGTGATAAAATAAGAGAACTGATTGCTAAGAAAAAAAAATTCAGTTAAAATATCTTTTTACTCTTAAGCATCAACAAAAAATAAGAAATAGAAAACAGAAGAGCTGAATTATTTCTTCTGAGCTATTTATAATAAATTTGGACAACTAAGCTAAGCCTGAGTGTAGCTAATTTAATGAAATTGGTCATATTTGAATATTGTCACAACCTTACTATCACATTAGCATTAAGTGTGATTAAAATTTATTCTTTGTTTCTGTGTGAGTCTCCACAGAATCAGCTATCAACACCTTCATAATAAACTAGCCCTTCATTGCTTTTGGGAAACTTTTAGATTCAGAGCAGGTGGTTGGGCTTCTGCTTTAGAAGAGAACAAATCATTTTTGAAGTGCCTTTCCTGTTTGTGTGTGTGAACTTAGAACACAGAAATTGTCCATTGCATCATTTTTGCTAGGAGGTAGAAGTTATTAAAAATATAGGAAATACTAGATATCATGTACTGATAATTTCCAAAGCTAATTATTTTTCTTGTGGCCAACTGAATTAGAGTAAAAACATAAAAGTTAAAAACCAAGCTACAATTTAAGAGGTGTACTTGTGAAATATAAATATTGTTTTACAGTAATAAAATGTTTCTCATGGGAAAATAGAATATGATTTTTGTTGAAGTTCAAGGGAATATCTGTTTTCATTCAGGTAGTTTCCAGATTTTTGTCTTTACAATGTTCTGTGTAATGATTTAAATACTGTACCTCCAAAATTTATGTCCACTAGATACTTTAGAATGCGACTTATTTGGAAGTAGGGTCTTTGCAGATATAATTAACTCAAGGATTGAGATGAGGTCATCCTGGATGAAGGTGGGCCCTAAATCCAATGTAAATGTCCTTATAAGACACAGGAAAAGACACACACGGAGAAGGTCATGTGAAGATGGAGACAGAAATTGGAGTTATGCAGTCGCAAATCAAAGAAGGCCAAGGATTGCCAGGAGCAAGGGAGGATTCCTCCTGAGGGTCTTCAGAGGGAGTATGGCCCTGCCAACATCTTGATTTCAGAGGTCCAGGCTTCAGAACTGTGAGAGAATATATTTCTGTCCTCTTAACCCACCAAGTTTGTGATAATTAGGTATGATGGCCCTAGGCGACTACTACATTCTAATTCAGAAGTTCTTCTTGGTTTTATTATATCATGTGTTGGTAGGAAGTATCTAGGTGTTTCATTTGCATGATATGTTGGTAATCTTAGAATTATCGTATCTTGCAAGTAATTTTAAAGTATATTTTAATGTAGCCAGAAGCTTTTTAAATATGAAATTTAATTCGTGCTTGTGTCAATTACATTTGAAAAAAATACAAAAAAGCTATATAAGATTCTAGGATCTTTCAGAATTTTATAATGCTTCTAATGAAAAGTTGGTTAAATAAAATTTGTACTCTAAATCATTTTGTTGTTGGCTTAAAATAGCATTTAATTTATTAGTACTCAGATAACAGTTTTCCCCTAAATAGCATATTTACTTTCATATGTTGGTATCAAACAGTGAAGTGAGACAGCAAATCAGTACAAAGTGGTGATTATCTATCATCATAAATCCATGAAGGATAGCCTTGATCTTACTGAGAGGAGTTTAATTTTAAAATGCATTCCTGGAAAAGGCAAGTTAGTATAACATTTCAAACTCGTATAGCATTATTGGTAATTGATTATAGTTATAATTGATCATTTCATATTTGGACAGTCACTTTGAATCAAATTAGGATAATTATAAATTAAAGATTTATTATCATTTGCTTTGAATTTTTGATTAAAAAATTTAAAACCATAAAAACAGAGCTTTGACTATAAAAAACGTATTTATCCTTTCTTGGTAAGATTGGGGAGGGGTTTAAGAAAAGGCTAAGCAATGTTCTATTTTTTTACGTAGGCAAAAGTTCATTTGTGCTACTTTTTAATTAGGTAGGTAATTTTTTTTGAAATGACAGCTTCCAAAACACTACTGATTTTACGTGTGCAGTCATTAGTTTTTCATGTGAAAATATTATCTTTCAAATTCACACAGATGCTTATTTTATGAAATGCAATGGGACTACTTACCTGCCACCTGACTAAACTGGCATGCGTAGATTCACGCCTTGCCAAATCAGGAGTTAGGGTGAACAGTGATTAATATCCATTCTTTAATGAGTTTCTAAGTCTTTCTGAACATGTTTTTATTATATTTGTTGCAGTGGGATGGTAAAATTTTCAGGTTGGTTGCTGTACAAAGCATGATAATATCTTTATTAATGTTAATGACATCCATATCATAAAATATTATATTCTTAATAGGAAATTTGTTATATATAAATAACAATAAAGATCATAATAAGCTCTCCTTAATTCCATTTATTTTGACTTCATTATTAAGTTTAAAAACATAGGTGTCAAATTTAGACATTATTTATATGTAATTATAAAGCCAAATTAATGTTAGAGATTAACTTAAAAGTAGTTTTGTGGCTCAACAATTGAAGTGAGATAGTGGGATCACAAAAGGCTTAATCATTTTGAATTGATTCCACAGATGTCTCCTTTCTCTAAATCCCCTGTAAGCCTCCTATCTTCCATGAAAGGTAGTCCCATAAACCTGGCACATAAAATCAATCATATAACTCTTTTCCATTCTGAGATTTCAAAGATTAGGACTTTCAACATAGAGAAAAAGTGCTGTGTACAAGTTGAGTGTACAAAAGTCAACACTTGGCAATGGAATCCAGTATTTCCCAAGTATTTGAGGAAACTTACAAAAACCAAATCTCTAGTCCTTGCTTTCACATTTGCTGTCAGAACCAGGAAGGGAGGCCTAGAAATGGTTTGTATGGAAAATTTGTTCTTGTAGAAGCAGTTCACCTTCACTGATGAATAGATACAACATATTTCCCAGACCTCCTTTTAAGCCAAGATAGCAACATTTTTACCAGAGCCAAAGATAAAACCAGTGTTTAATCTCCTAGAAATTAGGAGATTTATGACTCTGGAAATGGAAAGAATTTTAATATCCAGCCACATAACCAGGTCATACAAGAACATAATAAACAAACCAATCAAACAACAACAAGAATAACAACCACAACATGGCCCCCATTCTCTTTTTAACCCCCGATAGAAATAGCAATAAAGGTAAAACAAGAAAGCTCTCATCAAGTGTTTTCCTCATCTACTATTAATGATTTATTCTTACATTCTGTCCCAGTCCAGTTATCAAAAAATTCCAAGACAGACCCCTGTAACTGATTTGTAATGAATTCCAGGGTCAGATTCCAGATATTGTTTCCCCTGAAACTGTGTAAGTGCACATCAGAATACTATACTTTTGGTGTGAATCTGAGCCAAATTCTATTGTATTCTAAATAAAGTGAAATTACTATCAGCCAATAGGGCATGGTATCAGTTTCAAATAGGACAAGCTGGTAAAGTCAGGAGAAATGACTTCCTCCTGAAGTGCTGTATATAAATTTATTACAATGCCTTTTAAAATTTTATATGTTCAACAGAGAGGGAACTAAGATCTTGTTATCATCATTTAAAAACAATTTTGTAGAATGTAAATATATCAGGGCTTGCCTTTTTTCCTTGTTAATGAAAAACAAGTAGTGCTTGGGGAGCAAGTATTCCTGTTCAACTGCTGTCACTCATTCCCAGCTCTGCTTAGAAGAAAGAAGCACAGATGGTGGGTCTATTACTTCCCCAACAAAAAATCTGCCTGTCTATATTTTTTGGTTTTATTCCATCCTTTTCATTGTAATGTGAACAATATTTCAAGTCAAGAGACTTCTGTAGGGATCTTTGAAATGTTTTATCCATTACTTGTACCTTAAAAAGAAAAAGAAGGAATTAATGATTTATTAAAATGTCACGAGGGGAACTCAAATAAAAATTATTGGTTACAAAAAAATTTAATCTAGAAACCATGTTTTTTTGCATGCAAATTAAAGCCTTCAGGGAAGTGAGGTTTTATATCAGACTTAGATCCTAAAGTACTCACTTAATGACGACAGACCACTTAGTCTATGTTAAACATACCTGTGTGGGTCTTTTTTATTTATACTGTGGCTCAATGAAAATTTGTCTATTGTAAACATATTAAGAAAAAGAGCATAGAGGCTTTTTAACATAATTTTATAAGGCTGAAAATACATACAAACAGTAAAACACCCAAATCTTAACTGTACAGCTCAGTACTTTTTTTTTTTTAACAAACTTAGCACTTCTGTGTATCCAATACTAAAATCAGGAAACTTGATATTATTTCTTCTAGACACTATCTCATAGGGTAGCTCTTGTGGTGATTTGGAACATAACTGATTCGTTTTAAAATTTTTAGTAAATTAGATCATAGAATATGTTCTGTATCTTGCTTCTTTCATTCAATATTTAGTTTATAAGATTTGTCAATCTTTTTGCATATAGTTGTAATTCATTAGTTCTCATTGCTATATACTATATCATTATACAAATATAATAAATGTCCAGTTTGTGGTTATTTTGAAAGGTGCTTCTCTGAGCATTCATGTATCTGTCTTTTGGTAAATATTGTTGGGTATATGCCCAAGGTCATAGAATATGGTTAGATTTAGCATACGTGGGAAATGGTGGTTTCCGTCAGTTTACATTTCCATCCACAGTGGGAGAGAGTTCCAGTTGCTCCACATCTTTGCCAACACTTGGTATCATTTCTCTTTTTTATTTGAACTGTTCTGATGTGTATGTATCACTATTTCAATTGTGGTTATTTTGAACATTACAAAACTGGAAGAGAATAACTGATTTTATTAAATCACATTTCATTTGAAGTAATGTGTGTCTACTTTGCAGTATTTTTCCTTATTTATATGACTCATAAGAAGAGTGACTCTGAAATATTCAATAATATAACAGCTTGGAATGAGATTTTTATCAGCTATAATTATAATACATTTTATCTAAATATTATTTTACTGTATTAGTAGCTGTGATAATTAAGAACAAAACCAAAAGGTAAGCAGGTAAGCAATTCCTTAGATTAACATGAAACAACATTCCTGCCTTTTTAAAGAAACTTTTCTGGCCTGTAAGTAAATGATGTAAATCAATTAATAGCTTAATTAAAATTAAGAAAAGAGTCTCAGTTTTCATTGCCTATATTATGTCTGTATTTTCTGGAGAAACAGAAACACTGTACGGCAAACCTACAGTCTGCTAGTTTCTTCTCACCCTGCCAACAACAGTTATATTACTGTTTAGCTGGTTACATGCAACCATTTGTTGAGGAGGATTGTTTTGTTTTGCTTAGTTTTACTTTCTTTTCTTTCTTTTTTTTTTTTTTTTTTTTTAAGGCAGGTCTTGCTCTGTTGCCCAGGCTTGAGGTCTGTGAGTTTTATACTCATGGTCACATGGTCAGTGTGGTGTGATCACAGCTCACTGCAGCATTAATCTCCTGGGCTCCCATGATCCCCCTGCCTCTGTTTCCTGAGTAGCTGGGACTAAAGGCTCATGCCATCACACCTGGCTTGTTGAGGAGGATTTTGAAGAAAATCACACATGCCTTCTTAATTAGAAACAATGAAACCTTAGAAAATGTAATTAGAGAAAAAAATAACATTTTGCACCAAGCTAATTATATCTTTACCTTTTCTTAGTCGGTTTCAGGATTGATACTTATTGGTGGTTGTATTTTGGAGTGTGTGTTCCTTGCAGCACACTTTATGTATATAGTGTGGCCTTATTTGAGTAACTCAAGTTACTTAACCTTTCCAGATCCCAGATTCTCCAGCTGTAGAATGGGAGTAATTATAATACAAATATTACATGGTGGGTTAGTCCAGGTCCTCCAAGAGGTAGATGTTAAAAAGGGGTTAAACACAAGAGGATTTTATTAAGGGAAATTCCTATGAGAGAAAATGGAGAGGAAGCTGAGTAAGCCTGGAAGAGCTCTCAGCTGTGAGGAAAGTCTGACCTAGAGTGAAGAAAAGAGGAAACGAAGGTTGAGTGGAAGCACTGGAGCATGAAGTACAGTCTAAGGAAGGGTAAGAAAAGTCTTCAGGGAATCCTGAGCCAAGCCTGGTCCTCAGAGAAGCCCTGTGTCTCCTAATGAGGGATCTGCATTAGCAATCTTGCTGCCCTCAGTCATTGACTGAGGGGCAAATGCAGAAACAGATTTTAGAGTGAAGCAGCAAATGGCCTTAAATCAGTCAGACTTCCCGTACTTTGAGGTCTATGAGTTTCTTATTCATGGTCACCAAAAGATGTTTATCATGAATTGACAAACTCCAGATAGAGTAAAGCAATGCCTAAATCATAATTATGCACTTATCAATTTATTTATTCATATTATTCACTATCATTACAAATATTCAACACATTAATAAAACAGCCACATGTGCAATCTACTTAGGATATTGGGAGCATAAGGAATAACACAGCAGTGCTACAGATAATTTAAGAGATGGTTACTCTCTTTCTCTCTCTATCTCTCTCTATATATTTATTTATATATATGAGTATAAAATTTTATTTTTCTAAAATAAAGAATAATTGGTTTCCTTGTACTATTTGTTATTGATGTATACTGCCAAATCCCTAATGAATACTGGAATACTTAACTCTAAACTCCCTGCATGCCTACAAAAAGAAGTGGGTCCAAGGTTATATTTTAAATCAAAAGATGTGTTAATATTATCATTTTTATCATGTCCAATGGATAGTATCATTATCAAAAAGTTTAATCACTGATTATTACTTGAAGGACCTAGTTAGGAAATGTTTGATCCACTTCTTAAAACTGGTCACTGGAAGTATATTATCTCAGGAAGAACTGGATATTTATTGAAACCCCTTTAATATAGCCATAATCTCAAACATAGAACCTTCTTTTATTTTCTTCAAAGATTTTTCAATTTCTGTAAAAATTCAGAGGGTGTTTATGGATAGTGCAATACTCTGCTCAAATATAGGGAAGGAAAGTTACATTAAAATGAGAATATTTTTGCTGAAAAGTATTATGATATTTAATGTAAGCAAACAAATTACTCAGATGATAGTATTTGTTTTCATTTTAAAATGTCTCTTTAATTTCAATAGTTTTTGGAGCACAAGTAGTTTTGGCAACATGGATGACTTGTATAGTGGTGAAGTCTGAGATTTTATTGCACGTGTCACCTGAGTAGTGTACATTGTACCAAACATGTAGTTTCTTTATCCCTCACCCCCCCTGCCAACGTCCCTGTTCTGAGTCTCCAGAGTTCATTGTATCACTCAATGGAGAGTCTTAAACATTCAGGGTAGAATCTTCGGGGTGTGACCTCCTATCCATTGCTTTCCACCATTTGTACTCTCTGCTTTGTGAATGGAGGCCCGTTCTCCCTGTCTGCTTTGTTCACATACCTTTGCCATTTTCCTTGCTGGGATGACATCCTTTGCCCTGAAGTTCTCGTTAACCATACCACAGCTGTCCTCTTCTTACCTCAATACATCAAAGGCTACTTCAAGTTACAATTTCTCCCTCAGTTTTTCCCTAGTCTAAGTCCACGTGGATTTCTCCATATCCAGAATGTCTACTACTTGTCTTATCTTTCCTCACACTTGGCATGTGCATTTCCTTCCAGCTACTTTCATAATGTTGTATTTTAACTGTTCAGTTGTGTTTATATTACACTATTCTGCCAGGCAAATAAGAGTATTTATATTGCTGAAATCTATGGTTTTTTAAAAATGTAATAAAATGTAATGAATAAACATACAAATGAATGAGTTAATTACTATATTCCTGGTTAAGTAATGAGCATTATGAGGACAAAAATTGTGTCTTACACCTTCTTATAATCCTAATCACCTAGTATAGGACTTGGAATATAGCATGCATTTAAGACATCTTTGTGACTAATGAGTTTAAATATTTTTATTAATTCTAAGTTGACATTATATGATTGTAATTTGGGGAAGGTAGTGAAATTTCAAATGGCTTTCACCACCGGTGAAATGACCCTTTTACATACGACATGATTTACCAGATCTTTGTTTAGGTGAACCTAGGTGAAAGTGGATTGTTTCCTCTACTTAGAAAATATTTTGCAGATTTTAGTTGCTTAAAAATTTGATTATTTAAATTTGTACAGTTATGGTTTATGATATTGCCTTGTACAGTTATATATTTTTTATATATTTTATATATATATATATGCCACATGTGTGATCTGCTTGGAATACTGGAAGAGTAAAGAATAACATAACAGTGCCACAGAGGATTTAAGTGATGTGCCATATATATATGTATAATTTTATTTTTCAAAAATAAAGAATATTATTACACATTAATAACATAGGTATAATTGTTTTCCTTCTACTGTTTGTTATTGATGTATACTGCCAAATCCCTAATGGATACTAGAATTCTTAACTCTAAGTCCCTCTATGCCTACAAAAAGAAATGTGTTCAAGCTTATTTTAAAAATCAAAAGATTTATTAATAAAACTATTTTTATCATGTCCAATTGATATTATCATTATTAAAAAGTTTAATCACTTATTACTTGGAGGAACTAATTAGGAAATATATATATAATATATATTAGGCTAAGATATATGTACATGTATATATATAATATATATTATATATACAAGTATATACTACTATATAATATAGATATATTAGGCTACTCTCTCTCTCTCTCTCTCTTTATATATATATATATATATATAGTATATATGTAGTAGCCTAATACTTAAAAAATAAGATAAGGACTGCATAAAATAAGCTGACTCAGACAATATGAGTGTGGACATATGTATAATTCAGCAAGACCTGGTAACAAAGTGAGATATATATTAACTCTTTGTAGCATATTGTTAAGTAGTATCAAAAAACAAGTAATTTCTGGTTGGGTCCATTGAGTGAATAACATTATTTTTAGATTGATCTAATGGCACGATAAGCATTTTAGCATTTTTCCTGGAAAAACATTACAGCTGTGCCAGTTTCTGTTCCAAGAGAAAAATACATTGGTGTATTCTCTAAAGGAGGAAATTCCGACCTCAAATATGTTCAGATAGCTGTGACAGATAATACCCTGATCAGGTACTAAGTCATATCTTTCACATTTCCCTTGCTAGTTATACTCAGCGTGTGGTTGGAAATGGAATCAAAGCCCAGTCTGGAAATCCTGAAGTCAAAGTCAAAGGAATTGATCCTGTGATAAATCAGATTATTGATAAACTGAAGCATGTTGTTCAGGTAAGTCCTGATCCTATATTTATTAGTATACTCAGTCATAAATAATAAGTGGTTACTTTCTGTTATATTTGATAAATTTGTTAATCCTGTCAGATAATCCTACCTAAAATATTGTAACACACTTTTTGTATCAGGACATTTGGAAATATTTAGTTTCATGATTTTTGGATGCAGTCAATATGCAGTGATATTTTAATACTGGACAATCTGTATCTGTGAAAAGCAAGCCTCAGCCTCAGCATTTCATAATGAGAATCTCAGGATATGCTTTGTCTTCAGTGAATAAGTTTGAACATGGGAATCACTGTGACCATTAAAGAAAACACATATAAGACCATAGAAGTTGCCAGAGTTATCTTTCAGGTAATTCTCTGAATGTTACTGTGAAGGTTTTGCAGCATTTCAATATAAGTTAGGTCATAGATGAATAATATGTATTTATAATATTTATTTCCTATAACACCTTTTATATGTTATCTTATAATCTAGCTAATGGTTGTTTATGAAATATTTCTGTTTTATCTTCAATAATGTTTTTCATCAAGTAGTGTGTATTGCTGTTTTTAATACATGGCAAATGAAGCATGAGCATATTTATCAAAGTAATATTTCACTGAAATAGTCTATTAATTAGAACCAAACATTATGTTGCATGTTGTAAATATTACCCTCCATTCTGCATCTATTGATGTTTGGGGTAAGAAAGGCTATTTTTTTTTTAGTTATTAGTCATTTTTCAAAAATTTATATTTGAACATACTTTCATTTTTCCTAAGCAAAACTTTGTATGGGTAGTTGATATTTATTTCTAGTATCATGAGTCAGAAACAATACCTGAATAGTACAGAGTTTTTATTGCATACAACATATTCAAGAGTCAGTAGTAGACTTCTCATAATTGTTCTGCAAAGACAAAGCTTAAGTTTATGCAGAGCCAGTTCTTAGGTTCCCATTTTCACAAGAGTCCCTATATCTCAAGGAAAGGATATGTAAGAAGGACATGGGGGTTGGTGTCCAATACCATAGATTTCTCCCTTCTGCGAGGCAACAATGCTTATTCTACCATTGATACCTGTAGAAAACAGATCTCTCGCCCTGGCTGGCAAAACCCAAAATAAATTCTATTGGAAAAGTCTAAGAGAAAAGTGGTATCATGACTACCGATGAGTTAAACCTCCCAGCCTCTGCTGAGCTGGTCCAGTTGGTACCTCACAGTATCGTCCACTATAGTATAATATGTACATCTAGATTATTTGAAAATTTGAGTGCATAATTGATAATAAAACCAAAAGAGCTTTAATATTAATCAGCTCCTCTCATTGAGGAGTGAGTACAATCTCACTGTGAGGACACGGTGAAATCTTAGTGGTTTCTTAAGTGGGATAAGCATTTCACAGAGGGTGCAGGAAGAAAAAACAGACCTTAAGTGTATATTTATTCAGTCTCATTCTTTTATATTACTTTGGTTGTAGTAAGGTATATAAAATATGTAATATATTAGTGCAATAGCACATACATATAATTTATAAATACATAAATATACATATTAACTGGGCATTTATTCAGATTGTTTTTATAAGATATGCACAGGATGAAAGCAGAACGGAAACCCTATTACAGATAATAAAGATGGTGCTGTTCCATAAGAAGTGCACAGTTATAAAAAAAACACATTTACAGAGAAGAACACATAGATACCCAATATAAAAAGGATTATAGAAACCCTTAGGAGGAGGGTTCACATATTTATTGCCCATTCAGCAAAACACCACCCCCCTCCTCTGCCAGTTCTGGTTTTGTAGGTTTCAAAGCCATAGCCTTTTCAAGGGGGCAGAGGGAAGTCATCCTACCTTTCTTTTTTAGCTTCTGTGTGAACTCGAGTCCCATTCTTTAATCTTTCTAGGAATGTGAAGATGGCCAATTATTCATGCTTAAGTTTCATTCTGGGGTTGCAAGAGAATATCAAATACAATGCTACCTTTGAGGTCTATCCTTTTAAGGTCTACTAGAATTATATGATCAAAATTTAGATTTTTATAGAGGAGAGCAGAAAGTTATGTCTTGCACAGGTGTCACTGAAACATTCACCTTTAATGCCTAAGAATATGCTCTTTCATAAACTGCTCTCCTGGAGATGAAGAGAAATGTTTTACTTTGCCAAACTTTTGACTACTGATAATGTACACGTGCCCTGGCAGGGATGGCTATTGTACTGTCAATATCAAGGGATGGCTAACAGCACCTCCACAATGTCAGCTATGAAAGGATTCAGAAAATAGCCTTCCGTAAGTGAGAATTTATTAATTTAGGAGTAGGGCCATGGAAGACGTCGACATAGGAATAGGTTTCAGATCCTAGTCTATAGATTTAGATGATCACTTCTTAGTGTTTGTATAAAATTTACTTTATTTTTTATTATAGTAGATATTAAATTTACTTTCCACCTTTGTGCTATGAAAAATGCCATCTCTCACCATAGGGACGTACCTATATTAAAGAATATGGAAGTAAGTCAGCCATAATAGCAAAAATTGCCTGCATACACTCACCCAAAAAGGCCTTTCTCGGCCTGCCATTGATCTGAACCTTATTTCTACCCTGAATTGTCTGCAATTAGAGTCACTAAGGAAATAGATAAAGATTTTTACTTGGAAAATGTCACTTTTTAATGTTTTAATAATTCATTCAAAATACTCAAACATGCTCATTGAGTTTCTAGTATGATCCTGGTTCTGTACAGGCACTGAGGTTAAAGTTGTGAATAAAGCAGACACAACCCTGCTCTCATGGGCTTTATGTTATAAGAAAAAAGTAAATAAACAAATAAAACCAGTATTGTAGCTGACACATGTTATAAACAAACCAAACAGGATGAGGTAGGGAAAGATATTTAAGAAGAATGTGCTGGTGGAGGCCACTCAGGGGGAGATGTTTGGGTTGATTCTGAATAAGGAGAAGAAAGGAGTCACAGGAAAACCTGTGAGAACTGTGTCTGGGGCAGAAGGAAAAGTAGGCGCAAAGGTCTTGTGGCAGGAATAAGTTTATTTTATTCAGAGAACAGAAGGCCATGCAGCTAAAACAGGGTGAGTTAAAGGGAGGAGATAAACATACCTCATGTTTTGGGGAGTCCAGTAGGCTCTGGTAAAGAGTTTATATTTTCTCCTAAGTGGCTAAGAAGTCATTTAAAAACTGTAAGCAGAAGCTAGCTGGGTGCAGTGGCTCATGCCTGTAATCTCAGCACTTTGGGAGGCCGAGGAGGGTGGATCACCTGAAGTCAGGAGTTTGAGACCAGCCTGGCCAATATGGTGAAACCCTATCCCTACTAAAAATACAAAAATTAGCCGGGCATGGTGGCTCACACCTGTAATCCCAGCTACTCAGGAGACTGAGGCAGGAGAATCGCTTGAACCCAGGGTCAGAGCTTTCAGTGAGCCAAGATGGCACCACTGCACTCCTGCCTGGGTGACAGAGCTTGAGTCCATCTCAAAATAAATAAATAAATAATCACAACTTTAATAAATCAATAAATAAAAACTGCAAGCAGAAAGCTGATAAAATTTATGTTTTATGAGGACTTCACTATGAAAAATGGACCCTGCATGCAAGAATGAAAAAAGGAAGTGGTACAGACAGAAGACCACATAACTGGAACTAGAATAATAAGAGTGGATACGCTGAGAAGTGCATAGATTTAGACAAATGTTGGAAGCGGGGTTATTGGGATTTGTTAATGGATTGGAACTCTGGGAGATAGAAGAAGGATGATAGCAAGGTTTGGTGGGATGATAGTGTCACTAAGTGTTAAAAGGAATTCTAAGAGAAGAGTAGGTCTGGCGGAGGGTTCCTGGGATTGATTAAAAATCAGTGGTTTTGTTAAATGTGAGATGCTTATTAGATACCCAAGAGGAATGTGCAGAACTCAGGGAGACCACACAACTGGAAGTGTATGTTTGTAAGCACAGAGTGTGGATAGTACCTAAGCCCTGAGATTGTATAAAGTTGTCACCTTTCCTTTAGAGTATAAATTCACACCAGAACTATTAATGGAGACTGTAAGACAATGGAATCATACAAAAAATTGTATTGCAAAAACCTATGAATGGATAAAACATTTTATTAAATGTATTGGGCACCTTGTATATACTTAGACAGTTGATCTAGGACAGAGAAGATACTTTGTAACATTAATTTTTTTCTTACTGTAAGAATAATGACTCAGGAGACGGAGGCTGCAGTGAGCTGAGATCAGGCCACTGCATTCTAGCTCCAGGAGACAGAGTGAGACTCTGTCTCCCAACAACAACAACAACAAAGAATAATGAATGCTCATCAGAAGGAATTGAATTTTATTATTCTAGGAAATCTGATGGAAAAAGTGAAAAATAAATATTGATACCATTTATAAAACAATGAAAAAGACAAGAGAAGGCATCTAGGCTTTTTTCTATACTTAATTATACATATAAATACATCAGCACTTCACTTAAAAAAATAAGATCATAGGGTACATTTGATTTTGTGACATGAACTGCTCACCTGACCACACAAAACAAATACTTTTCCGTGGCATTAAATATTCTGCTATCTGGTTGTTGGTGCTGGCATATTATCCTATCATATGGAAAGATTACAGTTTTACTTCACTCAGTCACCTAAAGTTGGATATTTAGGTTGTGACCAGTTTTTTATGATAATAAAGACTAATAGGAATATCAGTAGACGTAAAATATTTTTGGCATCTTTTTTTTCCTTGTAATACATTCTACATGTTGAAACTAACAATATGTTCCTTAACAATTGTATTTTGATACATATTGCCACGTTTTTCTCAAGGAAAATTAAAGCTAACAAGAAGTGTCAGCTTTCTCTTCATGTTAAATGTGTGGGTGGAAGCTTGGCAGTGATCCTGAGACATACTGGTATAAAACATCATTGGGCTCTCTAGAGACCAAGGTAACTGTCCTGTACAAATGTTAGCCTGAGCTGGGTGTCACCTGGGAGTACTCCAAGGACGGCCAAAAGAAATATTTTAGTTAGAAGACAATTTATAAGAAAAGTTTTGGCTGGGCCTGGTGGCTCACACCTGTAATCCCAGCATTTTGAGAGGCCGAGGTGGGCGGATCACGAGGTCAGGAGTTTGAGACCAGCCTGGCCAATATAGTGAAACCCCATGCCTACTAAAAATACAAAAATTAGCTGGGCATTGTGGCGTGCACCTGTATTCCCAGCTACTAGGGAGGCTGAGGCAGAAGAATCGCTTGAACCCGGGAGATGGAGGTTGCAGTGAGCCAAGATTGTGCCACTACACTCCAGTCTGGGTGACAGAGCAAGACTCTGTCAAAAAAAAAAAAAAGGGAAAAGAAAAGGAGTTTTGAGACTTCCTAGAGAGAGGTCATAGCATACACAATCTTAATTTTATTTCATCATTTAGGACAAGCCCTATATTTATATTCTGCACACATTCCCTCTTCTCCACACCCCCTCAAAAAAAAGCTGGGATCTGATGTAAATAGAGACCTGTGGGCTATAGCTTGGTCCTTAAGGAATATCTCAGAAACTTCAGTGTTCCTTCATTC
This sequence comes from Homo sapiens, assembly GCF_000001405.40. Lineage (NCBI taxonomy): Eukaryota > Metazoa > Chordata > Mammalia > Primates > Hominidae > Homo > Homo sapiens. The sequence continues at coordinate 91,913,634 of NC_000013.11, forward strand.
CCTCTGCAAATCCTTCTGAATTGAGAATGGGAACCTTGGCGACAGAGGGGAGTCATGCACCTCCCTTTTCCATCTGTGACTCTGACATCTTTCTCCAGGTCAGCCATTGTGCAAATTCTCAGAGTTGCTTTCTGGCACTTTCCTGCATTCCAAAGCCTGTTTCTGAAACAGGCAATATTTGTCCTTTTGAAAATCATCCATGTTAAATGTGGTATATCCAATGGCCAGTGAAGATTTTCCTAAAGGGAGAACACTTATTCCTAAGAGTTAACATTAACTTTTTCAGATGTTTGCGTCAGACTCAATTGCCCTTTAATATTATAGATTGAAAACAACACTTGGTTGATCTTAGTATATCTGATTGAGGAAATGCGAGAGCCTTTTTAATTTAGATTTGCTCACCTAGCAAACTTACTTTGAAACTTCTTGGTCATATTATGTTTGTTTATGGCAAAGTTGTCAGCAAAAAAGTCACAGTTCTGCAGCAATTTATCTTTAAACACTAAATGACATCTATCATTTTTCAAAGAAAATAATGTCAGCAGTTAAAATCCTAACTGCTGAGCACTGTTAGTTGAGAATTATAATGCCCCATTGCTTAGAAATTAATTTACCTACTTTCAATATGAAACAGAAAAAGTAATATCACAGCAATTTTCTGGATTTATTTTATTGCAAAGCCAATAAATGTTACAGTGTTGTTAAAAGTAGTAGATTTAAGAAACATTTTATTTCCTTAAACCTAACAATTCAAATAACATAAGAGTATTAAGTTTCTATTAAATATTCATTTTTATAGAGACCCAAACTTCTTTTCAAAATGTCTTCATGTGTAATATAAATTTCATTTTTAGATGTGAGGAAAGCAATAATCATAACCATTGCTTAAATCCACAAAAGAAGTAGATTTTCTATAATATGTATCCCAATAATAACAATGGAGAGTATTCAGGCAGAGATGAGAGACACTCTGATTTTAGTAGAAAAAGGCTGTGCTAAATTATCTCTTAGTCTTTTTTTCACTCTGTTCTTAGGATACCGATATAATAAATATAACTTTAGAACTGTGATACCCTGAGAAAAGGTTCTAATTTAAATCTCAATAGATGGTTACACAGGTAGTGTTTACACACACACACACACACAACACAATCACAGGAGTTTTAAAAAATGTTAGTATCTCTGAATTTTTTAATTCTGAAAACTGTCCAAGCTTTTATCATTAAATCACTTGCTATAAAACAAATTTTATAAACATCCTTTCCTATTGTTAATAGCCTATGATAGACATACCGAATGAGTTAATCATAATTGATTGGTCAGTTGCTAATTGCAAATTCTTTGACGGTAGCATGTCAGCTGATTCTGTGAACTTATTTCACTTGTATAGACTCTTTCCCTTCTTTGGAGAATTGCCACAACACTCTGACTCCTTTCCCCACAACTCCATTACATGACATTGTCACATCCCCAGGCTTATGATACTAATATTCCAGAGAAACGAACAGTTCTTGATTTTGAATTAGCAATGCAGTAGTGATCAAAACAGATTTAGTTAGTTATCTTTTGGTTCAGGAGAAAGTGTTGGATGCACGCTCAATAACTTTCAATGGTCATCTAATTTAGCAATTAGTTTGTCTGAGTAAATTCAATGGAAGGCTGCTTTCTGGAATGGGTGGTATAATGCACTGACTTCACTATTAGACATTTCATTTAAAAAAATCAATTGTCCGCATAAAACAACCATTTCAATCAGTGTACAATCAACTGGAAAGGAAAGTTTGAGAACTTTTTTTTTTAAAGTAATGGGATTGGGATTGGCCATTGGTAATTTCTGTTTGATTAAAGTATGTAATTGTTTTGTGTTGGATAAAAATTTGACTTTTCATTTATGTGGATGCTGCTGATTTTACATGTTATCATTTCCATTAAGACTTGAGCTGTTTTTCTGCCGGGTTTACTGTTCTTAAAATGTTGAAAGACCATTAAAATGTAAAACTTTTATATTTTTTATTTAGGTGACTAGGACAAATTCTGGTAATTTATAGGCTAAAACTTTTATATATTTCTGCTTGAAATATTTTGAAATATGGTTTTTTTCACAAAAGAGGTTCCAAATTACAACCAGCTCCCACTAATTCATATTTCTTTTTAATAATTGAAGTCACTGAAATTTAACTTGTCAAGAATTATAAAATCTAAAAGGTAAGTGTTCAGCATTTTAATTTAAACAACTAGGATAAGTGAGGAAAATAATATTTTTGACAATTACTAGACATAAGTGTTCATCCAGTAATTTCAAAGAATTAAAAAACCAAACAAAATAACTTTCCTTCAGTCTCAATAAAACATGCTTGCTACCATATAGTAATGTGCTAAGGAACATGACTTCTGAGTTAGCACAAGGCATGTGGCTAAATTCCAGCTTTTATAGGCACTAACTGTATATCCATAGTTAGTTTACTTAATATCTTAAGCGTCAATTTAATTTTAGTGTATAATAAAAATGACAGGTAATAAGTGTTGTAGAGATGCAGAGAAAGTGGAACTCTCAAACATTGCTGATGGGAATGTAAAAGTGTGCAACCACTATGGAAAAAAAAATGACAGTTCCTCAAAATGTTAACCATTATGACCCAGCAATTCCGTATCTAGGTATATACTCAAGAGAAAGGAAATACGTGTCTACACAAAAACTTGTACATGATTGTTCATAGCAATGTTGTTCATATTATCCAAAAAAAGAAACAACTCAAATGTTCCTCAATTGATGACTATATAAATAAAATGAGATATGTCCATATAATGCAATATTATTTGCCAATAAAGAAGATCAAAACAGTGGATATGCTACAATGTGGACAAACCTTAAATATGTTATACTAGCTGAAAGAAGCCACTCCCAAAAGATAGCATATTATATGACTGCATTTATTGATATACTACAATATTGATAAATATGTTGTATTAGGTTTGTTCTCAGGCTGCTGTGAAGAAATAATTGAGACTGGGTAATTTATAAAGAAAAGAGGTTTAATTGACTCACAGTTGTGCATTGCTGGGGGGTCCTCAGGAACCTTACAATCATGAGAGAAGCCACCTCTTCACAGAGCTGCAGGAGAGAGAATGAGTGCAAGCAGAGGAAATGCCAGACACTTATAAAACCATCAAATCTGTGAGACTCACTCACTACCATGAAAACAGCATCAGAAACCACCCCCTTGATTCAATTACTTCCACCTGGTCCCACCCTTGACATAAGGGGGTTATGGGAATTATAATTCAAGATGAGATTTTGGGTGGAGACACAGCCAAACCATATGATTCTGCCCCTGGCTTCTTCCAAATCTCAAGTCCTCACATTTCAAAACACAATCATGCCTTTCCAATAGTTCCCCAAAATTTTAACTAATTCTAGCATTAACCCAAAAGTCCAAGTCCAAAGTCTCATTTAAGACAAGGCAAGTCCCTTCCACGTATGAGCCTGTAAAATCAAAAGCAAGTAGTTACTTCCTAGATACAATGGGGGTACAGGCATTGGGTAAACACACCCATTCCAAATGGGATAAATTGGCCAAAACTAAGAAGCTACAGGTCCCATGCAAGTCTGAAATCCAATAGGGCAGTTATTAAACCTTAAAGTTCCCAATGATCTCCTTTGGCACTATGTCTCACATCCAGGTCACACTGATGCAAGAGGTGGGCTCCCATGGCCTTGGACAAGTCCACCCCTGTGGCTTTGCAAGGTGCAGGCCCCCCACCCCCTTCCCAGCTGCTTTCGTGGGCTGGCATTGAGTGCCTTCACCTTCTTCAGCAGTAGGGTCCAAGCTGTTGGTGGATCTACCATTCTGGAGGCTGGAGGACAATGGCTGTCTTCTCACAGCTCCACTAGTCAGTGCCCCAGAGGAGATTCTGTTTGGGGGTTCAACCCCACATTTCCCTTCTGCACTTTTCTGCTCTGCTTCCTCTTGAATGCTTTGCCAATTAGCAATTTATTCTGCCCAATACCCTAAATCATCTCTCTCAAGTTCAATGTTCCACAGATCTCTAGGGCAGGGGCAAAATTCTTTCTTTGATAAAGCATAGAAAGAATCACCTTTACTCCAGTTCCCAACAAGTTCCTCATCTCCACATGAGACCACCTCAGGTTGGACTTCATTGTCCATATCACTATCAGTATTTTGGTCAAAACCATTCAACAAGTCTCTAGGAAGTTCCAAAATTCCCACATCATCTGTCTTCTTCTGAGCCCTCCAAACTGTGTCAACCTCTGTTTCCCAGTTCCAAAGTCACTTCCACATTTTCGGGTATATCTTTACAGCAGCGCCTCACTACCTTGGTACCAATTTTACTGTATTAGTCTGTTCTCATGCTGCTATGAAGAAATTCCTGAGACTGGGTAATTTATAAAGAAAAGATGTTTAATTGACTCACAGTTTTGCATTGCTGGGGAGGCCTCAGGAAACTTACAATTATGACAGAAGGCACCTCTTCACAGGATGGCAGGAGAGAGAATGAGTGTAAACAGGGGAAATGTCAGACACTTTTAATGCCATCAGACCCATGAGACTCACTCACTATCACAAGAACAGCATAAGGGAAACCACCCCCATGATTCAATTACTTCTTCCTGGTCCTTCCCTTGACATGTGGGTATTATAGAGATTATAATTCAAGATGAGATTTTGGGTGAGGACACAGCCAAGCCATATCATATATTTTACTATTTTATGAGAACATCAGTTTTCATTTGTATATGGAACATCTCCTTAATACTGACATAAACTATTAATCAGTAAACTAATAATGGTTTATGTCAATGTAACACAACTCTGATTCTGAGGGTTTTGCAAATATTTATTGTGCTAGATAATTATCTTTTTTTGATATCCCAATGTCTGCAAGTTTATCAGTTTTGCTCTTTTTAATTCCTCACCCACTAGTAATTTCCCAACACACTTCTGTCTGATTGCTGCCTCCGTCATTCCCCTGAAATACTTTTGCTAAGCTCACTGATTTTCTTTTTTCTTTTCAGAAACCAATAGCCTTTTTTTCAGTTCTTATCTCACTGGCTTGTTTAACAGCACTTATCCATGTTGCTTACCTCTTTCTCTTTGCTCTCACTTTCTTGATTTCTCACCAATATCTTTGATTTCTTTCATTCCAGGATCTTCATGTATCTCTTTATTTCCTTTAAATGCTATGTTTTTTCTGGGTTCCCACGCAGTCCCTTTTATCTTCTCATCTTCCCTCCTTCTCTGCATTTCCCTCTCTCATGGCTTCACGGTAGCTGCCTAATTATCTTCTTCCAAGATGTTTCTTCTGAGTCTCAGATACTTCAGTCTACCATTGTATTGGGTTAGCAAACTGAAATGTCAAAATCAACATGGCCAGAACAGAATTCCATCCTAATTACTTCTCCCTTCCCCTAATTTGCTCCTCCTTCTGTTCTTTCCACATGCTTAAGCCTATTTCTTGGGTGTCATCTTTAATTCTTCTTTTTTACTTACTACTAATCCATTACTACAGTCTCAATTTTGTCTCCTGTTTATCCTGTCCACTTCCTTTTCTCTATTGCCACTGTGCTATTTGAGACTACTACCAATTCCTATCTGGATTAGAACAATAGTTTCCAAACCAATTTTACAATCACTCATCCAGAAAATGCCCCAAGAAAGTTTTCTTTATGTGCCTTCTCCATTTCCTCTCTTACAGTTGTTGAACCACACATTGCTGTCAAATACTATTGCCAAAGTAAAGTCACTAGTTATCATTTGCAGCAGAATCCAATAGAAAATTAGCAGACTGTTGATGGACTGATCATGTCAATACCCATTTAAAACCATTTAGTTAATCACTATGCTGCTGTGATAAAATATAGTCTTTTGGGCTTTTGGTTAAATGTGAAAATTTGGCCACATGTTACAATTCAATTATATTCACAGAAGTTTACTTATAATAAGTGAGACAATTCATCTGGCAACACCTAGGATACATGGAAATATGCGAAAGACAGGCGTGTATTGCTTAACTTCTCGGGCCAACATTGCATCCCAGATAACTCTCCTCCACTTTCTCCCTTGCAGTCTTTCTGGGGAAAAAAAAAATGTACCAGGAAGGCTCCTCATTCAAAATTCCAGCCAGAATAGAGGGCAGAATGAGTCCTAGAGAAGGAAATAGATAAACTAAATGACAGTTCACATACCGGCCTGCCTATTTTCGGAATGCTGGCATGCCAGTACACACAGTCCATGCAGAAAATTAAATGACTCTTCTTTGAAGCAACTGATCAATTCTAGACACAATAATTCCATGTACTGACTGGATCTCTACCCAGTGGGAAGGTAACTCCCCATCTATGGTGAAATCCTTTACTATACCCTATCTACATACAACAATTTCCAGATAGCCTCTAATGCACAGTATCAATGGACAATCAATGATCACTGCACATTAAAGGACAATATGAAAAATGTAAATGCAAAGGGAAAAAAGAAAGAAATGAGCAAATACAGAAAACAGACAGTACAGAAGGAAATACCCCAAACCTATATGAATATCCTCCAAAAAATGAGAAAACAGATTGCATTCTTAAGAAAATAAATTGCTTCCAAAGAATCAATAAGAAAATAAAAAAGAACTTCAGAAAATAAATATATTAAAAATTAAAAATTCAATAGAAGCATTGGAAGGTAAAATCAAAGACATATTAAACAATCGCAACACACAAAAAGAGAAAGTAATAGGAAGTAAAATGATGAGACATTTGAATTTCATTTTAGGGGATCCAAATAATAAGAATGTTGGAGAACAGAACTAAACTAATAAAGAGAATGAATTTATCAAGTAAGTAATGTCAATCATTTTCAGAAATGAAGAGTCATGACTCCCTACTGAATCCACAGTGACCATCACAATGAATGAAAACACACGTGCCTACACACACACAGACATGCATAAACATACACACACAAAGTAATCATTGTGAAATTTCTGAATATTGGTGATGAACAAAAGTTACTAAAATCTTCCAGAGAAATAAACCAAGAAACCCAAAATTGATTGCATAAAAAAACAGGCATCAGATTTGTAGCTGTATCTCAGCAGGAATACTAGAAGACAATGCATAAAAAATGCCTTCAAATTATGAGACAACTGATTTCTGATCTGAAAGCATGTACTCAGTTAAATTATCAGCAATCAAGTGTTAGGGTAGATTCAATAGATTTCAGGGGAGGATATGCAACTTGTACCACTTTATCCTTTTTTTAAATCTCTCTCTCTCTCTCTCTCTTTTTTTTTTTTTTTTTTTTTTTTTTTTTGAGATAGAGTTTCTCTCTGTCGCCCAGGCTGGAGTCCACTGGTGGGATCCTGACTCTCTGCAACTCTGTCTCCTGCGTTCAAGTGATTCTTAAGCCTCAGCCTCCCCAGTAGCTGTGATTACAGAAGTGCACCATCATGCCTGGCTAATTTTTGTATTTTTAGTAGAGATGGGGTTTCACTGTGTTGGCCAGGCTGGTCTCCAACTCTTGACCTCAGGTGATTCATCTGCCTCGGCCTCCCAGAGTGTTGGGATTATAGGCATGAGCCGTCACTCCCGGACCAATTTTATTTTCTGTAAACCTTTTGTATAGAGCTGCTGACAAAAGGAGTAACTAAGAAATAAGAAGATATGGGGTCCAGGAAACATAACATTGAATACATAAGAATGGGAAAAAGGATGACTGTGAGAGGAAGTTTTCTAAGTCAAAAAAAATTAATAACTTAAAGTGATGGGTTTGAACATATGGAAAAGATACTGCTAAGCATTTGACAGATCTGCTAGAGCACTTGAGAAAAAATGAAATAAATACTTAGAAAGATGTGACAGATACAAGAAAAACTATGCAAATGGATAGATACTATGACAATTATAAATTACAGGATATCAAAAAGATTTCCATAAAAAAATCAGTATAGTATTACCCTAAAAATGAATACTGTTTTTGTAGGAGCAACTATTACTTTAATAAAGAACTTTGCCAAAACTACGGCAGATGGGGTGGCTCATGTCTATAATCCCAGCATGTTAGGAGCCTAACGTGGTAGGGTCACTTAAGGCCAAGAGTTTGAGACTAGCCTGGGCAACATAGCAAGACTGCCTTTAAAAAAAAAAAAGAAAGAAAGAAAGAAAGAAAGAAACACAAGCCAGGCATGGTGATGTGTGCCTGTAGTCCTATCCTAGCTACTCCAGAGGCTGAGGTGGGAGGATCTTTTGAGCCTAGGAGTTCAAGGCTGCAGTGAGCTGTGATCACAGCACTGCACTCTAGCCTGGGGGACAGATTAAGGACCCTGTCTCAAAACCAAACAGAAACCAAAACAAAACTTTGCCAAAACTATAATATGGGTGAGGAAAAGGAAAGTAGGGAGTTGGTGGTAAAACAGAAAATCAATAAGCATTGCCAAGAGTTGATAAACCAAAAACAGAAAAACTTCCAACTAAAGGCAAATGATTTAGACAGGTAAAGTTAATTCCAGAGCAATTAATCAGGTTGATTATGATTGTCTCCAGGAGCAGGAAACATAGTGTATAAAGAGCTTGTGCATAGGAATGTTGTCTTTAAAAATATAAGTATTTTGGTACTTTTATTATTAACTAGGTATATTTAGTACTCTGATAAATATAAACTTTTTTTAAAAAAAACTAAAGGCGAACTTTGCATCATGATTTCTATGGACCTATATAACCTGGTCTTCCATCTTTACAGCCTCATCTTCTAATTGCTCCCCTTGTCTGCACCAACCTGGTATATACTCTTTCTGCCACACATACTCCTCACTCAATTATTTCAATATTCCAGACTCTTTCTTAATTTCTGGGTGTTCCACTTTGTCTTTTTAAAAGAAAATTATTACGTTGACTTGAAAAACACCAATTATATCTTTTTCTCTGTAACTCTTAGTCATTCGTTATGTCTCAGTTTCTCTCAACATAGAACACATGTATTCTTATGTTCCTTGGCACTCTGTAACTAACTTACAAGAGCACTTCTCTAGAGATAAAAAAAACAAAAATCAAAGCATTGAAAAATTGGATTATTGAGTGAGATCTACAGTCAACTTTCTTTGTTTGCACCCATTTTCTGTACCCAGGTATCTAGGTTCTTCCACTGTTCTTGATTATTTCTGACCCTAAACTGTCTTTTCTATCTGAATGTTGAGCCATATCTCACAAACTTGTGTAATTTTTCAGTCTGAATTTGGCAGATCTTACTCCTAAATGCTCTGGAGAAACCTCTCTAGCTTTTTCTGGGTGTTAACTTAAATTCATAGTTCTACCACCCTCCATTGAATTCTGGGATCGTAAGGTCATAGTAGTTCATAAGGCTTTCCGGTAAACCAGATTTTCTATTCTTGTTATCTATTATTTTTAAAACCAGGTGCAGTCCTCTCTGGGAATCTCTCGCAACTTAACTCTAGTTACCCTAAGGTTGAGTATGCACAATCAATCAATCAATCAATCTCTCTATCTCTCTAATCATCTTTTAGAGCACTCCTTTGCCATACATAGCTTTTGACTGGCTCATGCATATTCTCACCTTTCTGCAGGTACATATGAGTCCATAATGTTTTGCGGACTCAATAAATGTACTCTGTAATCACTTGAATGTAATTTTATGAATGTGCTTTGACGACGTAGTTTGTCAGAGCAGAGCAATTCCTGGATATATTTCTTGCAGTTCAGCAGCACTTAACCAGATGGCCCCCTATAGTTTTGAAGCAGTTAATGCACCTTGAAAGCAGGCTGACTTATGAGAGGAATATGCTTGTAGGGAATCAGTAGGAAAGTTTCTATGGCATAGAATATTGAAGAAGTGAAATAAATACTATATAGTTCCATTAAAAACCAAATTAAGTAAATTAAAATGTGCATTATAATAAACTTATGAAATATGATACACCTTATGAATGTAAGTTTTGCATTATATGTTTCACATTGATGTGATTGAAACTTAAGCAGTTTCATTAGCAATAAAACAAATCATGAGTTTTATAGTAATGAGTCTGAATAGGCATTTATATACCTATCTACTATCATGTCAATTACTAGTTCTGAAAAAGATCATTTTTAAATTATATATCTGGGAATATATTATCAAACCAGGCCTGAAACTTATTAAACAGATGGTAAAATCTAATTCAACTTCATTTAATACTCCTTTTCTCTTAGCCTTATAAAAGCAAATGAGCTTGTCGGCTTTTAATTATGAAAATACAATTTTAATTCATAAGACATATATAACAAAGCAAGATAGTTGCTAAATTCACTCTCTCCTAGTAACTTCCCATTGTATACATTCATTTTTAATTTAATAAGAAAATCCTTTCAAAATTTTTAAAAGAATCACATTACCCAAGAAGAGGCTCAATATTTCTAGAAAATAAATATATTCTTAAGACACTTAATAATTGTTGAAATGAAGACCTAATTCTTCAGCGTTTCAAAAATATTTGATGTGCACTCTTTACATATATAGAGTTTAAATTCAATAATTTCCCTTCTTAAAAATAAGTGAAACATACCACAAACATATCAAAGCAAGTTATTCATACTTAATTCTGATTTAAGTTACTGTATTGTCATTATTATTAATGAGAATTGAGTAGCAAAATTATTTTATATCATCCAAAAGCACAAAAGTCTTATTAGAATACTAATTTCAATGCCTGTTTCACAGATTCGCTCATAATAGATTTTTCATGCTTCTGCACTAATTCATTAAAGGACAATGTTTTACCTGTTCTTGAAAAAGTATCATTATCTGGCCTAGAGTGGTGGCTCCTGCCTGTAATGGAATCCTAACACTTTGGGAGGCCGAGGCTGGCAGATTGCTTGAGCCCAGGAGTTTGAGACCAGCCTGGGCAACATGGTGAAAACCCATCTCTACAAAAATAAAAATAAAAAAAAAAGTAAAGCATTAGCTGGGCGTGGTGGTGGGCACCTGTAGTCCTAGCTACTCAGGAGGCTGAAGTAGGAGAATCACCTGGGCCTGGGAGGTTGAGGTTGTGGTGAGCCGTGATTATGCCACTGCATTCCAGCCTGGGTGACATAGTGAGATCTTGTATCAAAAATAATAATCATAAAATAAAATAGAAAATAAAAATATCATTATCTGACATTTTAAAATGTATATTTCCCAACCTATAAATATACTTCATGAATTTTTTTTTTTTTTTGAGGCAGTGTCTTGCTGTCTCCAAGGCTGGAGTGCAGTGGCTCACTGCAAGCTCCGCCTCCCGGGTTCACCCCATTCTCCTGCCTCAGCCTCCCTAGTAGCTGGGAGTACAGGTGCCTGCCAACACGCCCAGCTAATTTTTTGTACTTTTAGTAAAGACGAGGTTTCACCGTGTTAACCAGGATGGTCTCGATCTCCTGATCTCGTGATCCGCCCGCCTCGGCCTCCCAAAGTGCCGGGATTACAGGCGTGAGCTACTGTGCCCGGCCACTTCGTGGATTTTTAACAAGAGAAAAATTTCAAGATATTGTAAATTTAAAACAAAATTTTATGTGTAATACCATTGAAATGTCTTTAACCAGTATCAATCACGTGATATGAAAAATATTAAATATATATTTATTGAATAAATGAATGAAAATCATAATTACCTTGATCACTATATTTAAAATTTAAATGAAGCAGGAAAGTAAATCTTCCTAATTATCATATACTTAACTGTTTAAAATCACTCTAATGACAAGTAATACGCTTTCAATCTTGCATTATAATTTTAAAATTCCTGTATTGTTTCATTCACTCATCCTTCCATTAATTCAGTGAACAAACATTGATTCCTTACCCACTAGGTGCTAGGTATTATGATAGATTCAGGGAGTACAAAAACGATTAAATGAGGGGATCAGCTGGAGTGAATGTTTTCTAGAAACAATGCCTATTTCAGTTATGAACTAGTCTGTTTTGAAGAAAGTGGTGAAGGAAAGCTGAAAATAATATTTTCACTTTATTCAACAAATCTTATTGAGGTCTTATTATGAATCAGGGGCTCTCCTAGGTATGGGCATACGAAATTGATTAAGACCATACTCGCTTGCAAAAACAAACGAAAAAGCATCTCTATAATAAAAAGGAAAAAGAGGAATCCCCTTTGTAGGTTTCATAGTTTATAGTGATATTTCTGATTTAGTCTCAGAGAATTAGTCACAATTATAGGAACTCAGAAGACATTCCGATTTGAGATGGAATGGAGAATAAACTGGTTGAGATTACTTAGTGAAATATTGTGATGCCATTTACTTCAATTAGAATATAATTATAATTCATTTTAGAAGATATTATGGCTTACACATAGTAGATGTGATGACTGAATAACAGGAATATTGAACGATGGCACCTTGGTAGCCATCAGCCATTGCCACAATGATTCTGCATTAAAAAATCTATGCAAAATAGCCGGGTGCAGTGGCTCACACCTGTAATCCCAGCACTCTGGGAGGCGAGGCAGGCGGATCACGAGGTCAGGAGATCAAGACCATCTTAACTAACACGGTGAAACCCCATCTCTACTAAAAATACAAAAAATTAGCCAGGCATGGTGGCATGCACCTGTAGTCCCAGCTACTCGGGAGGCTGAGGCAGGAGAATCACTTGAACCTGGGAGGCAGAGGTTGCAGTGAGCCAAGATCGCACCACTGTACTCCAGGCTGGGTGACAGAGTGAGACTCCACCTAAAAAAAAAAAAAAAAAAAAAATCTATGCAAAGCTTTGGAGTATATTAATAAGCATTTTTTGTTGTTCATGCACCTCTGGTCAGACCCAGTTCAGCTGATCTAGGCTAGGCTTGACTAGCATTGGCTTGAAGCTGAAGCTGATATCCAGACCTGTTCCATGTATTTGTTATCCTCCTCAGTGCCCCCAGGTACTTGAAGCATGTTATTGTTATGGCAAAATTCAGGAGTGCAACCTGCCTGTGCAAAAACATGCCGGCTTCTGTTGCCTTAAATCCTCTAAGCTACCCCTTTGGCTTAAGCAAAGCCACACAGCAAGGATCGAAGTCAAGGAGTGGGGAATTATATCTGTCCCTTAGAGATGGAGATTGGGGAGAGTGTGAACAAATGCAGGAAAATAATCTCATCTACCAGAGTGTCCTTAAAGATTTTAACAAAATAAATTCAGTATTGTTTTTGTTTGTTTGAATGAGGCTTTGCATGGACACAGTACAGTACAAAAGTACTATTTGAACTCTTTCTCCACATTCATAAAATTGCTACATAGTTTCTACCATGATTATATTTTTTATGATCCATCTTTGTGTACAGATCTGAAAACTTTATGTTAGAATTTATTAGATGAGGAAAGGAACATCTACTGAAATCATCGTATACAAATATTTCTCAATATTTTAATGCTTGCGGTATTGTTAATGTTTCTGTGGAAAAATACTTAAAATCATAGAAGTGATTTCTCAGTCAGTTATTGATTTATTCTAATGAATTATGAAAATCAAACTAAATTACTAATAGAGAAATTACATTTGAAATACTAGTCTGAGCTACAAATGAGATGGATTTTTGTGCTCACCATTTGTATTCTAATTATTTTTGTTAAGATTGGGTTATTAAGACGTAATTATAACATTATCAGCAGAAAACCCTGTCGTGCTATAATTAAATCATCTAAACAATCATTTTTTGCGGTCTTAATATCCTGGATTTCTCAATTTATTGTAGTAGATAAGATTTCTCTTTAAATACTATTTATTATCAATAGTTTGCTTTTCTGTGAATGCTAGAAAATTTAGAATTCTGCATTAACATTTAATAACAATATATACTATTCTAATATTGATGCATTATATTTATCTACACAACATGCAACAAGAGAGAACTATTGTATAAATTAGAATATTTGCAGTCTATGGCAATTATCTGTAGCAACTTTTTTTTTGTCTTCAGAAAAATATAGATGATTTTGGAAATGGGTTAGTTCTAGTTTCAATCTAGGAAGAACAACTTATGGAAGTTTTGCTTACAGGATACTGGTGTTTTCAAATATAATGCATTATTATTTTAGTTTGGTTTCTTTTACCACATACTTAGAAATTGTTCAAGTGAACAGGCTATTAAAACTAATGGTGTAGCTACATGGTATAGATAGGCATTGCAGACATCCCACTCTTCCCAAGCCATGAATTTTATCACTGGGATAAGGAGATGAAAATGGAGTCATTGGGAAAATGGATTCTTTGCTTATAATTATTTTTCTTCCTTTAAAAAGATTCTTCAAAGGGCAAGAATATGGAAGTATTTCAGGAGACATTCTTGAGGTATCTAAAATACATACTCTTCCTATCAAAATCAATAAATAGATTGATGTTAGTAAGATAAAGTCAGGGCAACTGATTTTGCATGTGGGTGTACACACAGACACATATCCACATATTCTCCATCTGTTCTCAGTTACTGAGCTATTAGACTCAACTGAATGATCACTTGACTGTGTTTAACCTGATAAACAGACTCTTAACAAGAAGAACAATATTTCTACTTCTCTGCATGCATCAGCCACTCTCCTTCCCCATCCTAATCTGCCAGATTGTCCTCTAAATATCAGTTCCACTTGGAGACACTAGTTGAAGTTGTTGTAAATGACATTAATGAGTATTCTCTCTACCTGCTCTCACATAGATTCAATTTTCATAGGAAGGTCTCCATGGGATGAAGCCAAAGGACTTAGTGGAATAACTCTATATGACTCCATAAAGTAAAGAGAGAATGTTGTGAGTTTAACAGAGTGCCCCTTCCTTTACTAAATGTGAGCGATGTTTCAGTATAGGAGGCCAGAATGAAAAGTCCTAAAGTTTGTGTGTTTGGGCAGCCAACAATTGGTCACACTGCACATTTCATGTTCCAAAGAGCCTCATGGTAGCATAAATGAGGGACAGGAAAAGATGCTTAACTGTGCCCAGGGCTTTAAAATGGAGCAAGAGCAAGAATTCTAGAAGTTGACAATATCAGGAAGGAAACCTCTGTAAGCAGGCACGTAGGGGACTCCAGAAATCCCTTCTTTGCCCCTACAACTCTGGACTTTCAGAAATACACACCCCATTCTCCTGTATTAAGACAGAATTCATGCACACAACAACATCAAAAATCAATTTTAAAATAGTAAACCTAAGGTAGACGTAAAGACATTATAACCTCAGCATGCCTGAGATCTGAGGAGCAAAGCAGAAAGATGTGAAGGTGAAGAGAAAGGGACATTGTGCTAACCAATCATTTAAAATTTTTACTCCAGAGAAACGGCAATATTTCACAGATTGTTTCTCATCATCAATCTCACAAGTATAAGTAGGTTTCAAAAATTTTCCTCTCAATTCTTTTCCTTGACAGTGAAGTCCAGAGTAGGTTTGTTTAGATCTAACTCTTTCTCAGCCTCAATACTCCACAATCACCTTGGCTTTTTGGATTATGACTGGGTGGCATGTACTATTATTTTAATATTAAAGATTTAGTAAATAATTTTAAATATTATTCTTAAATAACTACAGGCTTTATTCATTTACTGTACATATTTCTAAAACATTCATAAGAATGTAAGGATTTTAATTCAAATGGTCCCTAAAGTAGAAGATGCACTCACAGATTATGCATATGTCTTTTAAGAAACAGAAATGTGCCATTTGTTATTAAATTGAGTAGACTTTGTATCCTTTAGAATTTTGGCAGGGTTTTCTTAGGGAATCTATCAACCATATCTTAATTTTCTTCTTTTTGAGGTTTTCAAAATTAACATTGGCATTGATCCACTAATTCGTTGTTTTCTATTTTTGGATGAAATTGCATAGATTACCTCCATCTTAATTTTCAACGTAAACTTTTAGCAGACTCTTTCATGTTTCATTGCCATGTAAGCAGATGTGATTTTTATTCTTTTTCCTTTTCATTGAACAGTTACTTCATTTGAAATTTTTCACTTGATTTAATTTCAGTTTATTTGGTGGTAGATACATCTGTTGCTACCTGTGTTTGGTTGTCATTTTAATGGGTTGCCTAGAAGCTGTAACCACAATAGTGGTACATTTTCCTGCTGTTCCTTTATTCTTTGTTTCATGTATATCTAT
This sequence comes from Homo sapiens, assembly GCF_000001405.40. Taxonomy (NCBI): domain Eukaryota; kingdom Metazoa; phylum Chordata; class Mammalia; order Primates; family Hominidae; genus Homo; species Homo sapiens. Next base: position 91,929,753 of record NC_000013.11, read on the forward strand.
TTTCAAGAAATTGCATTGGTATATTATCATAGATTTCCTTTTTGTCTCTCAGATTTTCTATTTTTTTTTTATTTACGACTTTGGAAACATTTCATGATTGTTACATAGAACATCAGAGCACTTTTAGAAATTTTTCACGGTTTTCCAAATGCACATTGATATAGATTATTTAGTAGTTATTACAAAATGATCTTTGGAGCAATAAATGCTGTTATGTAAGAACAATTCCCAAATGTAATTTGAAAGTTATAAGCTAGCCTTTGATGGCCTAGAATTAATATACCTTTATAATTGGGTGCATAATTTTCAGGGCCCAGTAAGAAGTGAAAATGTAGATCCCTTTGTTCAAAAATTACAAAGAATTTCAAGATGCCCATCATAGGTCATGCACGAGGCCTTTCTAAATGGATAGAACGACCATGAAGCCATGGGCATTGTTTTGTTTTGTTTAATCTTACTGTTTGGTTGTAAAGCAGATCTTTAAATCAAGAGAAAAAAGAACACCAAAGAACATCTCTATCAGAATGTTTAAAAAATTATAGAAGGTTAGATCCATAAAAATGAAAGGAATAAAGAAAAAACACATATCCAACCTCAAATATAAAGCATGGAATTCTTATATGAACTCTATTATAGTGCTTGATATTTCAGCTATATTTTCATTTTTGAACAACTCTAGATATATCTATTTTATTTTAGTCTAAAATTTAATTTTTATAAATTCTAAGTACTGTCCCAAATTCTACCGTAGATAAACAATTCAGAGATAACTCTGTTTTCTTTTCTATTAGGTGGAACCATATGAAATTGTCAGTATTCAGCCTTTTTTGTCCTACAAAAAAAAATGACAGTTTTATGTTTCCACCTAACACATGGCAGCCCAATAAATATGTGAAGGTCGGGACCATACAGCTACCACCCTAAACAGTACTAAATGCAAACACATACCCTTTCCAAAACCCCAGCAGGTCTTCTTTTCCCCAAACTAATCATTCTTTGACTCTTCACCCATTATTCATGTGAGAAATTTTCCAGGCACTTCAACATGTCAGCTGAGTGACTGTAACAATTGGATTTATTAATTCTCCTCTCACAATTTTACATTCTTTATTGAAAAGCGTGATCTAAGTGTTGACTAATAGTCTACATAGTGACACATGCTTACTAGTTCCTGTGACCTAAAACAGTATAAACCATGATTCAGAAATTTCTTTTCTTAAAAACTTCTAAACATTATGTCTGCTAGCATAAAATGGTGCAATTTCTATGTGAAACCTGAAGAATTTCAATTACACATTTTCATCCTTATTGCCATCAAACAATCCCTTTAATCATGCCCCATCTTCCTTACTCCTTCATATGATTTTCTATCTTATTGTTTTCCATCATTCTTTCTGTTAAAACTGTAATAGTTTCTTTGGAGAAATTACAGATTTTTCCACTTCTGAGGCATTCCTGCATTGAGCTCTCATAAACCTCTCTGACATGGTGGGCAATAGACTCAATAATATTTGTGTATGAATTCACTTGTGAATTATGTAAGGCTTACGTATAACATCAAAAAGCAACTCGGTAAAAATAATTCTATTGAAGATAGTATGATCTAAATGTATAATTTTAGGATGGTTTCAGCTGAGACAAAAATAGCATTGATACAGTGTGGAGCAATGAATTTCTAAAATTTTTATCTGCTTAACATTTTTCATCAGCACAATTTACACAGAAGCCCAACGTCAGACATCCTTGTTCACATGGAATTTCTGTGCCTACTTGAGCCCTGTAGAAATCCCACTGTGTTAGTAAACAGCAACAGCAACAAGAAGATTCTAAGCTTGAATTCTCAGTGGCTCAACCAAACCAAAGTTTGTTGGCTGCTCACATAAAGTTGAATGTCAGTCAGAATAAACTCCTCTATCCTTAACCTATGACACGCATTGCACATAACCTTCAAAGTACTGGAAGCGGAAAAAGGGAGAACTTGGGAATGAGGCAGGGGCTTTTTATTGCTTCAGCCCCAAATTCACGAATGAGTTGATTCGTGGCACTTCACCTCAGAGTCTCTTAGATCTTTCCATGTGATCCCACATGACTGGAAGTCTCTGAAATACCTGGGAGTGCATGAATACTTGCTTAGCATTCATTACATCTCTGTTTATAGACTCCGTTTTGCTTTCTAAGATGCTCCCTGACTCTTGTCAGAAGCTTCACATAACATGCTATAAACACTTATCTAACCAAAATATCACCCTATACCCTATAAATATGTACAATGATGTGTCAATTAAAAATTAAAGCAAAAAAGTCCACTGATCTAAAGGGATGATTTCCTCATGCTTCAGATAATTCTTTATGGAATATTAGTCTCCAATACCAAACTTTTCTTAAGAATTTGGCTGCAAAGAATCCAATGTTGTATTTTCAGAAAGAGACTGGAATGCCAAAATATTGTGCCTCAACAAAAGAATGTGTCCCTTTTTGACATTTGGGTCTCTCCGTGACTTCTGACAGAAAGGACAGGCTCACAGGATGCATGGGCATGTCCAAAATTTCATTTCTAAATGATTTCTGGATCTGCCCTAACCAGGGCATGAGTCTAGAAAATTTCTGACCTCCAGAGTGCAGACAGTGCTTTGTTCTTATTTTGGTCCTTCACATTTAGCTCTGAATTTAGTACTTGCTGGATTTTAAATTAAGTTTCTTTGACATGAAATGAAATCTTCAGCTGCCTGTTACTTCCAAAGCAGGCCCTCAAGCTCAACACATACAAAATTAGTCTTTTCCTCAGAATCTTGTTCTTCCTTCAGAGTTTCCAATTTTCATTACAGATACCACCTGTCAGACAGTCATTTGGGCTTAACATTTTAAAGTCTGTTCTGGGTCTTCCATATTCATTATTCTCTATAGTCAATCACATTCCGAGGATTGTTGCCTCCAATGCATGCCTTTTTCTCAATTTTATTTTCTCGTATCAGAGTCATGCACAGATTAGCTCTCAAATGAGCTATTGTAATGGCCTCCTAGCATCTAAACTCTCCTTTTTCCAATTGATGGTTCTGCCAGAGTTGTCTTCTTAAATCAGAGGTTAGACTGCATTTCTCTAAGTATATTCCAACGACACCAAAATAGTAATTCTTAATAAGTATTACAAGTAGGGAAATACAGATGGGAGGGTTTGCTTAGTAAATAAGTTCATAAAATCTAGGTTAAACAAATTTAAATGGGGTTTGCTTTTTGCTGTTGCTTTGTTAATATGCATTTGAAATTTTTAAAGTGGCATTACATATCCATAATTTCCCTTATCTGTCAAAGGGATCTAGTTTGTTTAGAAGCATTTTTTCAGAACTGCTATAGGTCAAACTTTCAGAAATTCCTCATTATCAACGGTCAAATCCAGATGGATTTTCTTTGGCTCTCACAACAGGCTTAGAGGAATTTCTAGTCTGTTCTCCTGACATTTCATTATGTGCTTCTTTGCTCAGGCCTGTTTAACCTACTCAACATGTGTATCTTCTACTCCATGTCTTTATTCCTACTGTTGTTTTAACATGAAATCCTTGTAACCCAATTCATAGTTTTTGTTCTTTGGAAAAACCCAAATCATGTATCATGAATACATATTTTTTCTCTACTGAGATTTTCCTGTTTTTATGTATCATAGCCAGAAGTAATCACTGCATAGAGTATTTCTATAGAAAGATAAAAGAGTTCCATTTTAACACAATATTTACTATACACCCTGCAAAGGTCTGGGTATTTATACATACTATTTTATGTATTCATCTCATCCATGCAATGAAGAAATGTTAATAAACCCATTATATATGCTAAAAGGTACCGAAACATATATGCCACACGTCCAAGTTTTCTCAGGTATTAGCTAGGGAAGCTGTGTTGTAACAATCTTCAAAACCTTCCTTTCATTGTTTGCACACTATACCAAGTCATTTTGTTTTCATTTCATTTGTAGTATCTAGTGTATTCTACTGTGTATCATAGTGATTTGTAGTTAGAAGTCATTCCCATTGGAATGTAAGTTCTCTGAAGACTGACACTGTGTATCATTTGATGTATAACTACCATGATAATTTGCATGTCTTGCTGAATACATGTTAATTTAAACTTGATCAATTTTGTTATATTAGCTGTCCTGGTAGTGTTTTATTTGCTTGTATATGATGCATCATAGTTTGTCTTCATTAAATATCTCTGGAAACAAGACCATATTGTGTCCCTTGTAGTGGATATGTCCTCTCAAATACCTGAGCTATGCTTCCCTGGGACCCTCTTTTTGACACTGCTGCTTTAAGATAAGTCTTAGGATTTAAAAGTTATTAAGGAATTTATTTTTAAAAGTGACAAAAGCCACTTTTATGAAGTGGCTATAAAACTTCATAGCCTATGTCAGTATACAAAAGAAGAAAATTTTCTAGGTCTGTACCAAAATGGGAAAAATCAGAAGTTAAAAGAGAGGTTGGCAATGATTTAGAGGCAGAAGTTTTAAAAATAATTAATTGAAAGCATTTTTACATCTGCCTTGCTTAGGTATCAGAAGTGAAGTATTGTAAAAAATGAGTTAAGTATCAAGAAAAGTTCACAAACACTTTTTTGGGGGTAGGCTCAGGCATGACCCTGGGCAGTGACACATTGCAGATTGCTCTCTAAATTATTATTTTGAGAGTAATACTTGCTTTTAAATATGTATTGTAACATAATTGCTTTCTGTGACCGATGTTAGCTGTCTGACGGTCACTGAAAATAGGAATACTTCATTTTTATCTTAAAAAACTGGATGTCTTCCAAGAGCAAAGTTGGGATTTAAGTTTTGTTTTGAAACAGAATAGATAGCAGCTGAAGAATTTACACTGACTCCTGGACAAACACTGCCCCTTTTTGGCTCATAAACATGAACAGCGTCCCAGAAATGACTTCGATTATTGAATGATGTGTTTGATACTGTTCCTTTACTAGGAATAATAAAGATAGATGGTTGAGAGTTCCCATATTCCTTGCAGAGGCAACGGGACCCCAGATGATATCACTTCCTTCAAGTTTCAAGGGTCACCCTTCACTTCAAGCTAACAGAGCAGTATTCACAAACATACCAACATTGACCACAAGACATTCAGTCTTCTCTCAGTTTCTTATCTCCAGATCTACTATGGAAAATAATAGATACGCATAATAGATAAGTGATTTGCTCTTTATCCAAAATAAAAATTTACACAGGGTTTTAAGCTGAGGGGTATGTGAGCTAGATTTGCATTTGGAAAAAATAATTGCTCTGACTGCAGTAGGCAGAGTAGATTAAATGGGAGCTAAATAGATATGGGAAGATGACTTACTGAATCATGGCAGCAGGTCGTAACAGTACTGTGGATTAGGATAGTGAAAAAGAAAGGCAAGATAGGTGAATATGAAAGCCATGGATATACTCTTATGGATAAGAATAATCTCATCTGAATTGCTAATCATTTGGCTCTGAGGAGAGTGGGACATATGGTATTATGGTCTAAATGTTTGTGTCTTCCAAACTTCATAGGCTAAAATCCTAACCCCCAAAGCAATGTTATTAAGAAGTGGGACATTTGGGAGATGATTAAGCCATGACTGCAGAGCCCTCATAATTGGAATTAGTGCTCTTATGAAAGAGAAACCAGAGAGCTACTAGTTCCTTCCACCATGTGAGGACACAGCAGTAAAGCATTGTATATGAAGCAGAAGGGTGGCCCTTTCCAAATATTGAATCTGCTGGTACCTTGAGTTTGGACTGTCAGCCTCTAGAATTGTAAAGAAATGATATTTTTTGTGGTTTATCAGGCATCTAGATTTTGTGGATTTTGTTATAGGATCCTGAACAGACTGAGACACATTGTATCAGGAACAGCCTTTAGGTTTTTGGCTTAAGTTTGATTGATGGGTGGTATAATTTCCCAAAATAGAAGTCACTGGAACACAGCTAATGCATGGGAGGAGCATTCGTTTACCTTTAGATGTTAAATTTGAAATGTTTTTGAGAGTTAATGTCAAGTGCAAAATTGACTTTGCTGGTTTTGACCTTAAAGGATAAGTTAGACCTATAAACTGTATGACAAATCACCAGAGGAAATAGATCTCATAGATATAGATGAAATTGCCTAGGGAAATACTATAAAGTGACAAGGGAGTTGGGTCTATGACTGAGCCTGGAGGAAGAAACCCAAGATGTAATGTACCCAGGTAGAGAAGTATGAGATCCTTACAAATATTACTCACTTAATTTTGAAAAAGCTTCCTCCCTGTTTCCCACTCCTATCTTCACTCTGTATATCAACAGATTTTAATTACCAAGGTATAGATATTTGTGACATAACAGTGATTGTATTAACTAGGATAAGCAAACTGTTATAAAAGATGATGCTCAAGTCTCTCTGTCTTGCCGTGATAAGTTTCTGTCTCACCAAACCAACCAATAAACCTAGGTCACAAGCTTTGCACTGAAGAGTGACTCAAGGATGCAGGCTTCTTCCATCATGTGGATCTTGCCTCCTTTGCCTTAATGGAGTCCTCTTCATTCAGGTAGTGGGTAAGGAATGGGTAAGCTGAATCACACAGTAGGTTTTAGTAGGATTTGCTTGGGGGTAACCTATAACGTTTCTGCTTATTTTCCACTGACAAAAGCTCAACAACATGGCCGTCTGAGTGCAAGAGAGGCTGGGAAAAGTAACAAATTAATTTTGATGACCACAAAGCATCATTTTTGCCACAGAAATCTAGCCAGAGTTAAAGAAACTTGTAACGAAAGTATACATATTTGGTTTTTTATAATTTTTCTTTCTTAAATCATACAGTCTTGTTATTATTCAGTCTACCACATAAGGGGATGTATCCAACATGTTCCATTGTTTAGAGAGAATAGGAAACAAATAGTCATGTCATCATTCTAGGATTTTCTTTGCTCCAGGATCTCAAATAGATATCTCCTCTGAAATTGGCTCAGGTTTCTAAGAAAATAGATAGAAAGGAACAAATTTAAGCATGGGAGTCAATTTGTTTGAGAGTCTGCATCCTTTCCTGATGGGGCCTTGGGAGCCATCTACTAAGCAGCTGGAGATGAATTCCACTGCAGCTTTGACATTTTCCAAGCCAGTCATCCATTCTTCCCTGCTTACCACTAGGGCTCTCAAAATTATGCATATCTAAGTACTATATGTGAGCTGTTGCTCTACTGCTGACGGCTTATCTCATATGCACAGTGGTGGAGAGCTGCACCACACAGTCTTCCATTAAACAGATCTGAATGCATTCTGGCTTATTTGTTGTTCAAGATTTTACCCAGATATATCCACAACAGACAAACACAGTACATCTTATCTTCCCTAATTTAAATGACAAATCTTTGATTTCTCTATGCCTATGACCCTTGACAAAGAAGGCAGTTTGGTCAACTATCATGTAACAACCACTCATGTAAAGGTGTCCCATTAGCTTGGGAGTCCCTCTTTCTCTTGAGTTATTTTCATTCAAATATCTTAACTTTGATGAACATAAACACATTATGTTTGATGAGAGAGAAAAAGGATGGCAATTATTTCTTTGAAAATGTTAAAAGTATATTGGACAATATAGGTCTCTTTTTACGTGATGTTTCTGATTAGATTTAGCTGAGCTTTTACAGAAGAGCGAGTTGGAGGTGGGAAATTGGGCCAGCAAGTTACCATCTGTGGCACAATGTTGAAATCCTCACCGGTAAATGCCTTAATATTGATCTTTTATATGGGTTTGAAGAACTGTCATGAAGATCTATTGACTTATATGGCTACAGATGAAGCTTGCAGATACTGTTTTCCAGATTGTATTTTTCCACACTAGGTTTTTACAAAAATATAGTTGGGCTTGTTTTGAAAGATACATTAGGAGAGAGAAAATGGATTTCCAAGATTGGATAGACAGAAACACCAGGTTCAATTTATGACTTCATTCTGAATTGTATATAGGTTTATTTAGACCGGATAAGACAAGCAAATATAAGTGGAAGCTAGAAAGATAAACCTTAGGGTGTAAAATAGCAATGGCTCAAAGATCTAAGACATTTTATTATCTAGAGAGGCGCAGAAGTCTAAGCACCCTTCATTTTCCTGTATGAGAAGTGAGAAAATACCTGTATGAACCCAAAACCTGACCCCCTTATATTGGTAACACATCTGATATGTAAGTATGTTGATATTCCCCTATATGTATTTGAATAATATTTTATGAACTGAGAATTCATGAGACCATTTTCAAGTACAATGGGAAACTTTGGAGATTTCCGGAGCAAGTTCAGCTGAGATTTGTGGCAGCCTAGAGCTCAGAGATCTATACTAAGTGTGTTAGTCTGTTTTCATTGCTAAAAAGGAATATCTGAGATGGGGTAATTTATAAAGAAAAGAGGTTTATGGTCTCATGGTTCTGCAAGCTCTACAGGAAGCATATTGCCATCATCTCCTCCACTGCTGGTAAAGCCTTAGGGAGATTTTACTCATGGTGGAAGGTGAAGAAGGAGCAGGCATGTCACATGGCAAGAGACAGAGCAAGAGAGAAAGAGGGGAAGTGCAACACTCTTTTAAACAATCAGAACTTGTGTGAACACAGAGTGAGAACTCACTCATTACCACAAGGCAGGCACCATGCTATTCATGAAGCATCCACCCTCATGACCCAAACACTTCCGACCCGGCCCCAACTCCAGCATTGGGGATTACATTTCAACATGAGATTTGGAGGGGAAAGACATCCAAACCATATCACTAAGATTGATTCCTTTGAACTAAGAGCTCTAGTGATGCTCTACCAGTTTACAGAATAGATGTCAAGGCCACTGCCTACTGGCCAATGTTTAAAGAGCATCCTGTACCCAGAAGATTCAGGGATGGAAAGTAAAAATGTAAGCATTTGATTTCTTCCTATAAGAAAGGTACTTAATTCTTCCATGGTATATTTTATCTGTCCTTATGAAACTTGCCTCCTACTTACATCACTGTTTGCTATTAAAAAATTGACAAATGTAGGTATGTTAAAGTGTCTATATAAATATTAAATACATATTGGTATACATTGGGCAAAAGACAGATGCTTTAAAATTATGTGAAATATCCTTGAATGATAGTTTTAGTTTTCTGTTTTCTTAGTGATAATGAAAAAGAATATCTTTATACTGAGTTTTCAATTTTTATAAATATGCAAAAATGTAGTGCCTGTGGCAATTGAACCCTTTGTGATTTTTAAATGACTACTGTCATTACTTAGATACTGTAACATTTTAGGAGTTAAGTAAAAATATTACTACTAGAAAAATCCCTGTTTTTTGTTTTTGCCTTTCTCGTAGTGCTGATCAATATATATTTATATAATTCTTAAGTGAATGATAGAAAAAAATTACAAATAGAAGTTTTAGTAATGCTATCATGTAAAAAAATTATCCATCTTCCTCTTTTATACAGGCTAACTTGATATGGGATTTTATCTACATATGATTGGCTACTAATCTGATAGCAAATTAAGAAATCATAGAATTTATGAACTAAAGGCTGCTTAAAACAAATTAATTTTAATTCTTTACATATGAACAAGCAAGATTCAGAGTAGTTTTACTTACTCTGAGAGTATTAGTTAATATATGACGTAGCCAAGGGAGGCTAGAACTCTAATCTCTAGGTTGAATTCTCTTTCTACCATACATAACATCAGCAAGGCTGAATCTTGTTGGGTGTGACAGAGACCACTGTAAGCATCTCACAAATATTAACACTTGGAATTCTCTAAGTAGCTCTTGACTTACATGTGTATAGTTTTCCCAAGCATAGAGTTCATGTAAATTATTTTAACATGGATTTAAGTAGTTAAGTGACCTCATCAGATTTACACCTTAGGAAACTTGTTCCAAGATGTTAAAGGATTTATTGGTTTGACAGTAAGTGAAGTTGGAGAAGAAAGCCTCTTTAGATGACTTCAGAAGATTAGACCACATATGAGAGGATGAAGTCATCAAGCAAGACTACCACGAGGGCTGAAGAAGGGGTTGAAGGAGATGGAACTGACATACTGAATTAATGATTTATGGGACACATGAGACAAGGAAGCCAGCAATGCTCTACCCCTGTAATCATATAGTCCAAACTTTTCTATCCTCCTTACAACTCTTTTACCCCATTGGTTCCACCACATCTCTTTTGGGCCCTGTTTAGACCTCCCATCTTTTAATGCTTACATGGCCTCACACATCGGGTCTATCCAACCTAGATTCCACTCTCCATCACTTAACAGTTCTTGATAATATTCTCAACTCCCCTATTCTATTTTGTTTTAACTGGAAAAACCTTCATGGATCAACCCAGTTGTCTTCCTTCTTTCTTAACCCTGTGCTGCTGGAAAATCCTAAGGAAAATCTCTAGTAGTCCATAGTGTCTATTGTTTCCATCTTTATGTCTGTGAGTACCAATGTTTAGCTCCCACTTACAAGTGAGAACATGTGGTATTTGGTTTTCTATTCCTGCATTAATTTGCTTAGGATCATAGCCTCAAGCTACACCTCTTTTGCTGCAAAGGACATGATTTCATCCTTTTTTATGGCTGCATAGTATTCTACGTTATATACATACTACATTTTCTTTATACAATCCATTGTTGATGGGCATCTAGGTTGATTTAATGTCTTTGCTATTGTGAATAGTGCTGCAATGAATGTATAAGTGCATGTGTCCTTTTAGTAGAATAATTAATTTTCTTTTGGTTGTATACCTAGTAATGGGATTGCTGAGTTGAATGATAGCTCCATTTTTAGTTCTTTGAGAAAACTCCAAACTGCTTTCTACAGTGACTGAACTAATTTAGATTCCCACTAGCAGTGTATAAGCATTCCCTTTTCTCCACAACTTTGCCAGAATCTGTTGTTATTTGACTTTTTGATAATAGCCACTCTGACTGGAATGAAATGGTATCTCGCTGTGGTTTTGATTTGCATTTCTCTGATAATTAGTGATAATGAGCATTTTTTCATGTGTTTATTGGCCTTTTGTATGTTTTCATTTGAGAAGCGTCTGTTCGTGTCCTTAGCCCATTTTTTAATGGGGTTATTTGTTTTTTGCTTGTTTATTTAAGTTCTTTATAGATTCTGGATATTATACTTTTGTTGGATGCATAGTATGTGAATATTTCTCCCATTCTGTAGGTTGTCTGTTTACTCTGTTGATAGTTTCTTTTGCTGTACAAAAGCTCTTTTGTTTAATTAGGTCCCACTTATTCATTTTTGTTTTTGTTGCAATTGCTTTTGGCAACTTAGCCAAAAGCAGTTCTTTGCCAAGGCTAATGTTAAGAAGGGTATCACGTACATTTTCTTTTATGATTTTTATGGCTTGTTTTTGTCAGTGTTATCAAAGATCAGATGGTTATAGGCATGTGACTTTATTTCACTGCTCTCTATTTTATTCTATTGGTCTATGTGTCTGCTTTTGTACTACTACCATGCTGTTTTGGTTACCGTAGCCTTATAGCATAGTTTGAAGTCAGGCAGTGTGGTGCATCCGGCTTTGTTCTTTTTGCTTAGGATTGCTTTGGCTATGTAGGCTCTGGGCTTTTTTATTTTTATTTTTTGACATGATTAAGTATTCAATCCAGTCCTTCAATTATTTATTTCCCTTCAGGTATTACCCTGTCTCTATCTCCCCCTTCCTAGCCAAGCTGTTGAATCATCATGCTTATTAAATGTTCCTGGGGATTAGTTCCTAGGAACTCTCTCTTCAAAGTCTGTTTCACTTTTCTGGGCAACATTCTCCTCCATGTGGCCTCTTAGGTGGACTGAGAATCTTACATGTCTAGATCCCTCAAAATCATGGGTATAACCACAGCTGAATGATCACATTGGTTCAGATATCAATTTGTGCAGAGGGATCATGTTTTAGCCAGGTTTATCTCTACTGTCTACTACCTAGCTCAAAGTGGGCACTTCATGTATGTTTCCTCAATCACTTCTGCAAAGTAAATAAATAAATTTCAGTGGTAAAGTGAAATAGTAGTATTTATTTGTAATTTGATTGGTAATAAATGTGATTTGCATACATGTTTCCAAGAACATCTCTTTGGTAAAGCAAGATAAAGTTATATTTCCTTCCCTCATGCTTTCTTTTGCAACATACTCAACAATAGAAATTGTGCATATTCAAGTTGTACTTCTTGATGGTGTGATATATGTGTATATTGTGAAATGATCACCACACTCAAGTGAATTAATGTATCCATCACCTCAAGTGAATTAACATATCCATCAACTCTATAATTAATTTTTTTGGTGATAAGAACATTTAAGATCTAACTTCCTAGCAAATTTCAAGTATACAATACCATACTGTTAACTATAGCCACTGTGCTGTCCAATAGATCTCTACAAAGTTATATTGTTGGTCTTATTTATGTAAGCTTCAATTTACCCTTTTCTTTAAGGATCCCATATTTACCTGACTAAAAAAGGTACCATTTTTACTCAGAATTATATGAGTAAAAATCTGCCCTCTACCTTTAATTCCATAATAGACTTAATTCATATATAGCTTTACTTACTACATTTCTTGTTACAGTCATTTTATCATTCAAGCTGGTGCATACAGTCCATCAAGTCTCTAACAATAGAACAATGACACAAAAAATGGAAATCTATACTATGAACAGGTCTTATATCAAACCTTTCTGATTAATTCTCCCTTTAGTCTCAACTTCTAACTCATCCTGACTGAATCAATCAAAAAGCTATTACTTTCATACTTGGAAGTGTTGCTTTCAAAATCAATAAAAACTCAGCTCATTTTTAATATGCAATATATTACAAAAATGAAAATTTCCATTTACTTCAGGTGGAAATTTATGAAAAAAGTAGAGTAGTTGAAAACTCTTGTGAAAAAAATATAGATATAGATATACTACTTTTATGACACTGAAAACTTTCATCATTATTAATGTTTTGTATGTGTGTGTGTGTTAGATATATAATTTAAAAGAAGACAATAAGTTGGTGCCTTTTGTCAAATTGTTGCTCAAGTCATGCATCTGAAACATAGGCACTGAGGGAATCAGCATATTTGATAATCTTTTAACTACAATAATTATACATGAAAAATACATTAACCATCCATATACATATTTAAGAAAATTATATTTAAGCTCTTCATGGAGACATTAAAAACACCATGCTGCATAAATGATAAATAATTATATCATTCATTAATAAGGAATAAATAGCTCTGTTTTTTATTTGAGAATTATTAATTGGATTGTCCATCTGTATGCAGGAACATCTGTTTTCTGACATGCTTTAATCACCATTTGTTTTGTACTTGTACCATAATTACACATGTTGTAATATTGAACTCAAGACAATGATGAAAATCAACTTATGCATAAGATTCTGCTATGCTTTTTCATTTCATTAGAAAATGTGTAATTCTGGTATGACATTTATAAGTATATATAAAACAAAGTATTTGATTAACAAAATGCCTCAACAGATTATGTCAGTTAAATGAGTGTTATATCATGTAGTGTATGTTATTATTTTGGCAATTTTAAGAAAAGTTTATTGCTTCACTGAAGCTTTTTTTTTTTAACTGACCATCTATGAATTTTCTGTATTCTTTATTTCAGTGTGATCACATGGTTATGGAAGAGACGTTTTTAGATCATCAGAAGTTGACAGTTTTCAGTGTACTGTATGTGCTTTGTATAAGATGGAATTGAGTTTGGTGTATGAGTGATTGATGAATTTTTACTGAATGATGGATAACTGCTGTTCTTTTAATGACATTTCATCAATCAACTATTTTTGATAAGGTTGATCACAAAATGTTGCTGACTCAATTTTTGTGGATTAACTGAGGTGAAAGTGATACCTGGTAGAAGTTTCACTAATACAAGTTTTCCTCTCTTAGGAGTAGGACGGATTATATTATTTGTCGAAATACCTTTCCATGTAAGTTCTTAATGTTAGCTTTCTTGTCCTGTGAACCATATCTTTTCTGTATTTGCTGAAATAGAGATGTAACATTGTTAAATCATGGAAAATGAATGCCTCTAAATCTGCATTCCTTCTTACAAATTACAAGTTTGAAATGACTTTTTTTTTTAAGAAAAAAAAGATGGATTTCTGGTATTCTATGGCAGAATAATCTCCTGCAGCCTGTCTTTCATGTTGATTACAACTCAAAATATGAAAACTACCTAATGGTTCCCCACAATGAGTGGCAATTAAATTAGACTCTATGCTATTTTTACTTTCTCAACTTCTCCTGAACTATTTGATTTTGATTTTTGTGGCAGGATATTTCTTTTTCTTTTTCTTTATTTCTTTCTTTTTTTTTTAAGACTGAGTCTGGCTCTGTCGCCCAGGCTGGAGTGCAGTGGTGCGGACTCAGCTCACTGCAAGCTCCGCCTCCTGGGTTCACGTCAATCTCCCGCCTCAGCCTCCTGAGTAGCTGGGACTACAGGCACCTGCCACCACGCCCAGCTAATTTTTTTGTATTTTTAGTAGAGCCATGGTTTCACCGTGTTAGCCAGGATGGTCTCGATCTCCTGACCTCGCGATCCGCCCGCTTCAGCCTCCCAAAGTTCTGGGATTACAGGCGTGAGCCACCGCGCCCGGCCTGTGGCAGGATATTTCTTAATATTTGCCTTTGTGCCATTTAATGTGTTCATACTATTATGGGCAAATTTTGAGATTTAAAATTAACCCATTACTCTCAGCTATTCTAGATGAGGCAATCAGGGAGCTAATTCCTATTTCCCCTTTCTTTTACTCTCTCCTCCTAGTTGTTATAGTTGAATTACTTGTACATTATCAGAATCATCAGTAAAATGTCTATTTACATTTTCTATACCATATATTCCTTAAATCTATATAAATCTATATATGATGCATTTAATGCTTACCTCTTGCCTTACTGGTAGTATTTCACCTACTCCAAACTAGGTTGACTGAACTTTCTCCTGTGGTAAATCTCTTAATAAGAACTTTCTGTAAACAGCGTTCCCTGCAATTATGGGCGCTTATAACTGTACACTTTATAGCTGATAGATATGTTGCAAAGATAAGGATAACCACTGGCTTCTCCTTTCTCTTCTTTCTCAATATTTCCCCCCATTTTCTGGTGTTAACTTTTGCTATGGAAAACTCTGAGGCCAAAATGATTTTCTTTTTCTGTAAGTTAGTTGACTGTTTTTGATTAAACCCCAAACAATAATTTCTTAATCTTTAAAGTCTTAGTCCCACACAGAGATATATCTTGGAGTTGAACATTCTAAAAACATATATAAGCATATAATACACCGTAATATAAATATATGTGCTTATGATGATCTATCTTGGCTTAATATAGGCAATAACTTTTTCCTAATTCTATCCTATGTTTTACAGTTTTTGGATTTTAGGACAGGGGAAGGGATTCATTGCATATTCTTTTCTCACTTACACCCTTTACAACCCTTACATTATTTGGGGTTCAGTCCCCCTTGTTCTCTTTACAATTTAGTTTTTTTGTTCTACAATGATTTTGTTTTTAAATCCCATTTCTTTCATGGATTCTGCCAGTTTCTATTGCACTTTCTGGCTATCTCTTCCCCATGCTCTTGTATTTCACTTCATGGTCTCTTTATCTTTTATTACGCTCTTAAAATTTATGTTGGAATGTATAAGTGTTCATTCCTATTTTCATCTGTTTTGTAGCAACAGGTTTCTGGTGATTAAGAGAGTTGATATATTCCTTTTTATCTTTATTCTTATAGTATTTTTACATGAATGCTGAGAAAATTCCTTTAGTGTTTCTCATATGTGAAAGTTGAATTTCCTTGACTGGTTAATAGCAGGACTTTCCTCTAGGACGAAGGAAAGGGGTTGTAGAATGTGCCCTAGCCTGGTAGCTCAAGGGCCCACTCATCATTTGCTACTGTGACAGACTGTTGCCTCATTTGGGGGACATTATGGAGCCACTGCTGTTCTGCTTGGTAGTGCCCAAAATGGTTTGGGACAATTTCCATCTCAAGCCTTACGCTTTCCCTGTTTGCCACCAACCTCCCTTCAAGTGATACAACCTGATACAACCCTTGCGTTGCAAAGTGATTCATACACTTTTAGAAGTTATTATTTTGTAGTTATTTTTCGGGGAATTCGCCTCTGAGCCCCAGTGAGCATTTTTTAGAGTATTCTTTCTCCATCTCCCTGAAGACTCCTATCTTGTTGGCACTTAACTCTGGTCCAGCATTTCTGACTGTGGTCGGGGGCGGGGGCTTCTACTTCTGGGTTCATGTATTTGCTTGTGAGTCTCTAATGATCTAACCCCACTAGGACTCCTACCTTCTGTTTTTTATGCTATTTATGTCTGATTTCCCAAAATGTACTCCTTGCTCAGCTTAGTACTGTTCGTGACAGTCTGTTATATAATTTGAAATTTGGGGTCTTTCTTTGTCTCATGGTTTCTCTGAAAATAAAGCTTACTGTTTTGTGGGGATTTTTTTTCCTTCTGTTTTCTGGGAGAAGTAAGATGATTCAGAACTAAGCGCTGCCATGGAAATGTATGAATCTTTGCATGTGTTTAAAATATAAAAAGGCAATATTTAAATTTACCATTACTCCATATGCTTCTCCATCTACCTCTTTTCAGAAAATTTAGTTTGCTATCTGTTTTAGGTTTTACTCTCTAACATAATTATATATAAAACGCAATTTCAAAAAAAACGATAAGAATAATCTAGGCTCTTTTTGAAGGGAAGTAGTGAGGCCCAACATCTACAGAAGCTTTCTTTTTTGGTAATCAATTCTGTATTTTCTGTAATATAAATTTACCTACGTAGGTGCAAATTATCCCTAACACCTCAGATTGCATGTTACGTGACAGCCCCGGTAAGTCTAGTGAATGAACAGCAGATGTCACTGTTGGATGAAATGAGCTAGTCTGCTCATCCCACCTTCTCTCATCTGAAAGTGCCTTTCGGGGTCCAAATCCTGGGGTTTATAGATAACGAGAAAAAAAAATTAAAATTAAACTCAATACCTTGAGTCTGTTTCATAGCTTGGCCTGGTACCTTAGGCCATAGGATATAAGCCAGCTTTGCAATTAACTCGACTTGTTCATTTGAAATTAAAGCACATTTTTTTTTTCAGAGTGTATTCTGCATAGTGGAAAATGACCTGAGATGTTTGAATTCTGAATTCTTGTGTCTTACTTTGTGCTATTGTTTCCAGTTTTTCAACACATACCTGGAGGTTTAACTCCAGCAGCATTCCATCTGTTCACGCAGGGCTTTTAAGGCACAAGTGACATTGTTAACCATTGCACACAGAAGAACCCTTTAGTATTAAAATGTAGATTTGAGCAAGGTCAGATTACTTTTAGTGTATTCATCTCCAAAAATTCACCTTCTAATATATTTTACTATACAATGTTACGTTTTCAGGTACCCATTTTCAATCCTTATTCATACTGAGGATTCAAATTTGGATACTTGTAATTTTCAGATAGCATTCATTTTATGTAAAAAAAAATATAAAGAAAATGACAGCATTTCCTAGGTTTAGAATCTCACTACCTCTATTCTCCTGCTGGCTCCTCCTGCTAACTTTTGAGTAATTTCTCCCTTTCTGGGTCAGGAATTCTTCTGGGTTACAACTTATGTACAACCAGTATATTGTTATTAATTAATTAAGTTTAATTTTGGTCTCCAGTTTTCGACTTCATAATTTATTCCTACTCAAGTATTCTTAATTTTGTTTCACCACCCCATTGTAGAAGAAACACCAATCAAAGAAGCATGACATTTTAATCTTAATTTCATCAGCCTTTGATTGACAAGCTCATATAATTCTTGCTGCCTAATGTGCTAGTAGAGCAGTTGAGAGCACGACTGAGGAAACAGTGGCATAGAAGACACATTCAGTCTTTTGAAGAATTAAAGTTAAAATTATTTAGTAGATTTCTGTCACTATTTATTTTGCTTCCAATTCTGCAATTACATTTTGCTAGTTGGAAGTTGGGACGGGAAGGAGCAGAGTTTCCCGTCCCCCCAACCCCTGCAGCAACAGCAACCCAGAGCACAGTACTTGGACCATAATAGGCATGTAGTAGTTGTTGAGTTAATGAAAGAATGATTGAGTTGATAGCACTTTGGGAGGCCGAGGCGGGTGGATCACGAGGTCGGGAGATTGAGACCATCCTGACCTTGCTCAAGTCTACATTTTAATACTAAAGGGTTCTTCTGTGTGCAGTGGTTACCAATGTCACGTGACCATCCTGGCTAACACGGTGAAACCCCGTCTCTACTAAAAATACAAAAAAATTGCCAGGTGTGGTGGCGGGCGCCTGTAGTCCCAGCTACTCGGGAGGCTGAGGTGGGAGAATGGCGTGAATCTGGGAGGTGGAGCTTGCAGTGAGCCGCGATCGCACCACTGCATTCCAGCCTGGGCGACAGAGGGAGACTCTGTCTCAAAAAAAAAAAAAAAATAAATAATAATAATAATAAATAAATAAATATACTTATAATGCTTATTCATTACGTTACTAATTTTAGTCTAATAATGTACAACAAGCAAAAGTGAAATTTGAAAAAGAAATTGATATTGAGGACGAGCATAGATATTCATTCATTCATTCATTCATTCAATTAATATTCATTGAATGTGTACTACTTTCTAGGCACTGTTTTGGGCTGGGGATACATCAATGAATTCTCTCTTATGGAACCTACGGTCTAATCTGGGAAAGAATTTGAGGTGAATGTTTTAGTCATGTTGAGCTTTTTTTTAAACAGAAAAATCAATCAACTAAGTTATTTGTTAAACATAGGTCACTTTTTAAATGATGTTTAAAAATACCCCATGAGTTCATAAAATATGTGTTGAGGACAAAACAAATGCAATTTTAATAATACAACCATTTATTCAACTTTATAATTTCTCTCTGATGGCTAGATTTTGGCACATGTGATAAGTACTTCAATCCATTTTGTAACAAACTGGGTTATATTGGATTTCTAGCATATGTTAAATACAAGGCAAACTGTAATGCTGCAGAGTCAAAGTAAATTAGCCATGCAATGGCACAAATGCAATTTTAGTATGCTTTGTTAGTGTACATGTCAGTCATGTTTTTGTTTTTTCTTTTGTGCATTTATTACCATCAAGAGAGACATATGGTATGTCAGTGGTACAGCTTACTAAGGTGTCTGAGAGGGAGATATTAAGAAAGTGCACCAGATGGTACTTAGCTCCATAAGAGCACAGATGATTACCAGGTAGTCGTTACTATCTTCTCTCCTTGATACTCATACATAACTCATGGCACATATGGAAGCAACCTTCTAAATACTGATGTTTTATCTTTGAAATGTTCTTTGTGTGTTGCTGCCCATTTGTTTTGTGCTAACTCACTGCCCTATTGCCTTCAGTTGTAACCACCTATTTAAGGTAAAAACGAAGGACAGTCATCTCCATGTGTTTTCAGAATTCAAATGAAAAAATAAAAAGAGGCTGATGTCACTTCCCAGTTTAACCTAGGGGTTTTGCTTATGTATGTACACTCAATCAAACTATGAATATTACAAATGGTTTTACCACTACAGTAAAGATAGTTAATTCATAACTCTATAGAAATGAACAGTGAAAGATTAAAAAAGGAAAGCAACAATTCTAAACTATAAAATCTACTTCAAAAACCTACATACAGCAAAAAGAAAATAATGAGATAAGTTTTATGGTTCAGGAGATACCTTTCTATAGCATCCTTAAAGGATGCTAAAGGTATAGCTTGCTAGAGTATGTGGTAGGAGAAGTTAACATGGATAAAATTAATAACACTCCCATTATTTGATGGTCTATAGCCAAAGAATAATAGAAAGCAAGTGAAATGCTTAGCATAGCCATTTAATCTACTAAATTAGGTTTGTGAAAATGGGAATGCCAAATGCCTTAAGGCTTACTGCAGGTACAAAAGCAAAAAATCAGAGGTCAACCTAAGGATATTTTTAATATAAAATTAATGTACCTGCATTGTAAGCATTATATTATTTTGCATGGTAGAAAGGAAAAAAATTCTTGTATTATTCTACTATAAATGTGTATTTGCTCTACTACATTTGCATGTCATTGTCAGCCTTTCACTTTGTCTTTAGCTAACAGGAACCTCTTGGCTTCACCCTTTGGAGAATTTGATATCATGGAAAATGGACTGAACTAGGAGAAGAGCCTTTGTTTAGACCGCATGCTGAGGTCTAGTGGCATCAATTAAAAATATATAAATGCTTAATTAAGCTTTGGAGGGAACAGCCTATCTACAGAAAAATTTAAAACTTGGTCATGGCAGGTACAGAGTTGGGCCCCATTAATTTTGTTGACAGCAGGGTCAGCAGATTCTGTAAATTTTCACTATACCTCTTTTATGATTTGCCACCACACCATTCATGCTCTAACCTTATTTCTCCTCACACCAATAGCAGAATTTTTCCCTGAATTTTACTAAAACTGCCAAGTTTTTTTTTTTTTTTTTTTCATGAATTAGCATCTTTAGCATTCTCTTCCTTCAGCCTGGGATGAAATTCTCTGCTCCCCTCCCTCCTCCTCCCTCCCAGCCCCACCCTCCACTAATGCACATTTGTGTTTTGGTTTCTACACCAAATGAGCTACCTTCAATAAGCATCCCACAAATCCACAGGGAACTTTTATTACTCTACCTTCTGTGCTGTCTAAGCACTTGGCTCAGAATGAGAGATCTGTCTGAATTTCAGATCTACAAATTACTCATTGTGTGACCTTGGACATATCCCTAATATTTTTGAGGTTCAGTTTTCTCTTCCTTAAAGTTAGAATAAAAATACCAAATTCCTGTGTTTCATGAGAGTAAAATGAGATGATGTTTGTAAGAGACTCAGCGCAGTGTCAGTATCTACCATGTGCTGTATACTCTGCGCTTTCTACTGTTGATGCTAGTGAATGTTTTTAGTATTTGCTATATGCCAATAGCTCTTCTAAGTAAACTCTATGTGTAATAACTCATTTAATGGTAGCTATTATCATCCCTATTGTAAGAAATTGACATTGGGGCACAAAGAGGTTTAGAAACTAGCTCAAGATCGCATACCAGTAAATAGCAGAGAGAGAATTTGAACCCAGGGACTATGGCTACAGAGTCCTCATTCCCTCTGCTGCCCACCACACCTAATACTATTTCTACTGCTATTACTACTCCTCCAATGGAAAAAACTGCTGACACACTGTTTTAGGGTGTGTACTGATCACATTGTTTTATAAAATTTCTGTGTATCACTCTACAGCTAGTTTAAGAGCTCCTTGAGAGTGATTGAATTATCTGTTTTGCCCATTTAGCATGCCTGGCCTGTACTAAAAGCTTATTAAATATTTACTGAAGAATGAATTAACCAAGTTCAATAAACATGCAACAATTTTAATAATTATAAATTATCTAAAAGATCATTTTATTCAACCCTGTATTGATCTCTGTTTTCTATCAGAGATGTTATAAATAAACCATGAATACATAAAATTCGAGAATTACTAAAATTGACAAACATTGTGTGTGTATATATATGCATGTGTGTGTGAATATATGTATTATGTATATACAGAAAGAGAGAGAGAAAGCAGAAAGAACTGTTCGTTAACTCTCTTGATTGTGAATTCTAAATGGAAAATGCAAACAAGTCTTCAGTGTTAAAGTACATTCATACTTTTAATTCGTTTAGCTCAGTCAGTTTACTTAATTTCAGCATTGCTGAAAGTTGTGTCAGAAGAGACACACCTTCTGAATACCTAAATAGAATTTTGGTGACATTTTTAAAGCATTTATTACAGAAAACAGAAGATGCTTTCAGATATTAGTTTTCTGCCTACTGGTCACATTTTTACAAATGTTAGGACTGTTTTCATACAGAGACCATATGGTTGACTACAGTAGAATTAAGGAATAAAATTAGAGGTGTGTCTCCAAGGTAGAAGAAAGGAAAACATCAAAATTAGTTGTAATGGTAGAAAAGTAATTCCGTTTTGGTCTAAAAAATGTATGTTGCTCAGTGCACTGAGCCATGTCTCATCAAATCAACATTTCGTTTGTCTAATTAGAAGTCTATACAACATATTTACTACTTCCAACAAGAAAGTTTTCCACATAAAATCTTTCTCTTATGAAATTATAAGTGCTTGAAAATAAGTAAATGGGTAAAGCTGTTTTTCTTGAAGAAGAGAGCCTCATTAAAATGATGACTAACTGAATTATTTGATTTGAATAATTTTAAGTATAATGTAGGCAATTAACTGAAAACAGTAACGACTTTTGAATGTCTCTTATTTGGTATATGTTCTGCTAGGTATTATGAATACAGAAATCAGTCTTGTCATGTTACCATTTTGGGTGATCTCTCTTTCTCTCTCTCTCTCTCTGTGTGTGTGTGTGTGTGTATGTATTTGTGCATACTTGTGCTCCAGGCACTGCAGTGGTTACTTTAGATAGATTTCTTCTATTCTTCACAACAAATATTCATTAGATGTTAGCACCACTTCAAAGATTAAAAAGAAAAACAAATGCAGGCTCAGTGATGTTAAGTAATGTACCTGTTTACCCTGCAATTAAACCTCAAAGCCAGAGTGTGATCCTGAATCTGTCTGCTTCCAAAGCCTGTGCTTTGCATATCAAATCAAAAGTTCTTCAGAACATGGCCCTGCTCTCACAAATCCATATTGGCAGATAAATACAAATATCAATAATATAGTGTAATAAGCAGTATGTTTGCAGAGATATATAAACAAACCAGAAACCTTGAGTTACCAAAAAGAATCTCTGGGAATGAAGCAATAAGGATCCCCCAATGAGAGTATATGCTTGAGAAGTGTAGGAATAGGTTTTAACAAATACAGAAGAGAATTTTTTCCAGGTCTACAGGTTCAAAAGCAAAGGAGAGGCCTATTATTTCAGGCACATTCAAGAAAAAAAATACGTAGTTTGATAATCCCTGAACAAAAAGATACATTAGATAAATATATGGAAATAGAGAGGTTGGCTAAACTGAAACTGTGAATGCCATGCTGGATGTATTGGACTCTTTCCTTTGGGAAATGGAGAAATTTTGATGATGTATTACTCTGTTTTGTATTTTCAAATTCATCCTCTAAATGTCAGAATTTAGAGGATAAATTGGATCAGTGGGATTTAAAGCAGATAATTAGACAATTATTGGCTTAATTCAACAAAAAGATAACTTGGTGTCCTGGAGAGGACAATAAAAATGAATATTAGAGACTTTTAAAAGTAATATAATCTTAAAACTTTGCCACTAATTGCAAATGGGATGAGGAAAATTAAATGCTCGAAGTTGATGTCAAGATTTATGGCTTACATGGCATAGTTTTATCAACAGAGAAAGGAAACAAGCTAGCAAGCACACTTGGGGTAAGGTCATTGGCTAATTTTGCAGATATGTTGAGTTTGATGTTTTTGAGCTGGACCTGATGAATATTTAGAAATCTGGGAATTTGAAGTTAGGAGTTATTTTTGAAATTGCTTCTTGGTAAGCCTGAGAACTATATTTCCAAGAATTCCTTGCCAGGAGAGTTTAGAAATTTAAACTGATTCTTGCTGTGGGTTGGACTCTATGTCACCCCTCTGAGGATAAAGCTGAAATTGTAGTAGCTACCGAGTATGTACAAACCAAATTACAAAATAAAATTGGTAAATCTCTTCTAAAATCAATCAAGGGAAAAATGATAGAAGACACCAATTAACTTGTAAAGAATAAAAAAAGGGTACATTGCTAATAATAGAATGTAATTATAATAGGATTGCCCTAGTTCATTCGGGCTGCTATAATAAAATACAATAGATTGGTTAGCTTATAAACAAAATAACTTAATTTCTAATAGTTCTGGAGGCTAGGGAGGTCCAAGATCAATGTGCTGACAGATACTAAATCTGGAAATGTTCCATTTCTTGGTTTATAAATGGGCCCTTCTTGCTGTGCCTTCTCATGGCCAAAGGGCCTAGCTAGTACACTGGACCTCTTTCATAAGGGCACTAACCACAATTATAAGAGCTCTGCCCTCATGGCCTAATCACCTCCCAAATACCACACCTCTTAATATCAACCGCTTGGTGGTTTGGATTTTACAATATGAGTTTTGGGAGAACACAGACATTTGGACAATGGCAAAGATATAAAGAATAACTCTATGCCAACATGCATGAACAATTACATACACATCAAGAAATTTTTAGGAAAAAAAACTTTCTTATGTTGACAAAAAATTATGAATGGTTCTATATTTGTTATAGTAATTTATTCTGTGATTTAAAATCTTTAAATCTTAAAAAGATACAATTCCATAAGGCTTCACTAGTAAGGTTTTGCAACCATTTTAGGAAGGCATGACATCGTTCTCATACCAAGTATGCTAAAGATAAGAAAAAGGGATGGCTAGTCCCAACATATTTTATAAAGCCAGCATATAATTTAAATTAAAGAATGTTAAAGAGATTGCAAGAAAGAAAAATAACAGCCCATTTTCTCTATGAATAATTACTTCAGATCCTAAACAAAATATGTGTAACAGGAATCGGTGATATATTGAAATAATAACACATACAGACCAATATTGTTTTATTCCAGAGATGCAAGCTTGGTTTGATATTCAAATAACAATTCGTATAGGCATCAAAATAAATACAAATAAGCAAAGTAGAGGAGAAAATGTATATGCATAAGCAACTCAGTAGAAACATAACAATATTTGATAAAATTTAACTTCCACGTATAAAAATTAGACACTACTACTAAGGGGAAATCCCTTAACATGATAAGTTTCTAAAAAGAAAATCCATGAACAAACTCCAAAGGCTGTAATTAAATGTAAATAATTAAAAGATTTCTCTTGATATTTGAAATGCAAAAAACATACTTTAAGTACTAATTCTGTTCCATAATTACTGTAGTAGATACTCAATAAAATAAGACTGATATCTAAAAAACCCAAAAATGTAAGGATTAAAGAGAAATAAAATCACTCTTACTGACAAATGATGCAATTGTGTATCTGTAAAATCCCTAAAATTTCCAAAGCTAATCATGATTATAATTAATAACTGATTTTAGCAAGACTATTGGATATAAGCTTAATTTCATAAAATCATATTCCTCATTTCCAACAACATACTTTTGAAAATATTTTAAAATATACCATTAAAATGCCATTAAAATATCAGATAATTAGGAATTAATCTAACTGAAGATATACAAGATGTATAGCATGAGACTATATGACATTGAGAGGAATTAAATGAGATCTGAATAAATGCAGGAATAGATCATGTCCCTGGACTAGAAAACTCAATATTGTAATATTGTTTATTCTCCAAAAATTAATCTGGATATTCAGTAAAATTCCAGTAAAATTTAATCTATGTGTGTTTATGTATTTAAATTGGCAAGCAGATTCTAAATCAATTGGAGGAACGCAAATAGCCAAGAACACTCAAATTTTAAGAAGTACAAAGTTAGAAGACATTATGCTTCTGCATAGTAATACTTATTATAAAGCGGTATTAAATGTTATATTGTGGAAGATGGCTGACTAGATTAACCTGGTACACATCTCCTGGACAACGAAGAAGCAAAATAGCAAGTAGATAATCACACTTTGAATAGACGATGTAAGAGAAAATGCTGGAATAAAACAGAGAAATGACAGGAAACACCCAAATCAAGGAAGAAGAGGGAAGCAAGGCAGCCTGGTTAGCCACCTGGGATTTGTTGGGAGCCCACAGAGGCACCCCAACTTAGGGAAAGGGTAAGTGGGAGACCCCCAGTGGTCCCATTCCCACTCCTAGCCATGGGAAAGCCCCTCAACCCTCATGGGCCCTAAGACTAACACAGGGAGCTTCTGAGAGACTGTACAACAGCATTCCTCCAGAGGAGCATAATAGCTTGTGCTGCATTCCACACTCTCCCTGAATTTTAAGCAGCTGCAGCATGGTGCCATTTGAGATCTCAGTCCCCAACAGACTGTATCCTGTCCTGTGGCTAAACACATCGCTACAACTCTGGAGCCCCATTGATATCACCTGCCTGCAGTGACAGTTGCAGCTGGTTACTACCAGCAGGGTCAAAGCATGAGCAGTTTACAAGCACCCTGAGGACAGCCTATGCAGCCTGCAGCTGCCACCTATGGCTGAAGTACACACTCTCCAGCTGCCTGCCTACAGTACATCTGCTGCCACTGAAAGCCAACCACCCTCCCCAGCCACTGCTGCTCCAACCAGAACATTTCACCAGGGGCTTGAGAATCACCTCCCCAGTGCCTACCACAGCCACCACCTGTATGCAGCACTGGGGAGCCTGAAGACAGGCCCACCCAGTTCAGTTTTCTCCCCCCCACCCCAATACTCAAGCATGCCACCTGGTGGCATGGATCTTGCCCAGCCTTGTGCACAACTATTGGCTCCTGAGTGCTTTTTCCAGGAGCAGGAGGTTGGGCCCACCCAACCTGCCATTGTCATCACAGCTGGCACCCACCAGCATGCATTACTTATGGGCCTGGGGACTGGCCTGCCCAGCCCATTGCAGCTCCCATCAACACCAATAAGGACCTCTTGGGAGGCACAGGGTTTTCCTGCCACTGCTGCTGCCATTGCTAATGCCATGTCATACTGCCTAGAAGCTTGAGGATCCACTACCTGCCTGGCCCACAGCTGTCACTGTAGCACCCAAGAAAGCCGCCAGAAATGGCCTGCCTGTGCCCACTAAAACTGTATACACCATCCTGGATCCCAAGGAAAGGCATGCTAGGCCCACTGTTTCCACCACTGGGGCCTGGAGACTGACCTACCTGGCATCCCTATCTCCAGCAAGACTTTACCACAGCTTCCTCTAATGACTGCAAGGCACTAAGGAAATCAGAGACAATACTACCCTGTTTACAGCTGAAGAAATCATATGGAAACTACACTAATGTGCACACCCAGAATCAAAGCCAAAGTACCCTATCCAATTATTAATAACACCAGAGATACATTATCAGGAAAAAGTCCTTCCCTGTGAAAGCAAATTTTAAAAATAGGAAGAAGGGGCTTGTAAAAGAGATGTGAAGATATCAAAGTAAGGACACAAGAAACATGAAAAAGCAAGGAAATTCAACACCTCCAAAGGGACACAATAATCTTTCAGGAACAGGTTGCAAGCAAAAATAAATTTTTGAAAACCAAGAAAAATAATTCAAAATAATGATATTAAATAAGCACAGTGAGATGCAAGAGAACAGAGAAAGACATTACAAAGAAACCAGAAAAACAATTGAGGATATAAATGAGAAATTTACCAAAGAGGTACATATCATAGTAAAAAAATGGAAATTCTGGGACTGAGGAATTCATTGAATTAAATTTAAAAAGTACATTTGAAACTTTCAACAATAAACTATATCAAGCGGAAGAAAGAATTTGAGAACTTGAAGACAAGTCTTTTGAAATAACTCAGAAAAAGATTTTGTAAAAACGTTTTTAAGTGAACAAACCCTATATGACATGTGGAACACCATAAAGCAACCAAATATTCACATTTTAGGTATCCCAGGAGGTGAAGACAAAGGGAAAGGAATAGAAAACCTATTTAATGAAATAATAGCTGAAAATTTCCCAAATCAGCTCGAGATTTAGATATCCAGATACAGGAAGCTCGGAGATCCCCAAATACATACAATTCAAAAAGGTCTTCTCTATGGCAAATTTCAAAAATCAAATACAAAGAGGGATTGTAAAAATAGCAAGAGAAAAGCACTTAGTCACTTATAAAGGAACAATCAGCAGATTTCTCAGCAGAAACCTTACAGGTCAGGAGAGAATGGGATGATATATGCAAAGTGATGAAAGAAAAAACTATCAGCCAAGGATACAGCAAAGTTATCCTTTATAAATAAAGGAGAAACAAAGTCTTCCCCAGACATACAAAAGCTGAGTGGATTTTTCACCACTAGACTAGCCCTATAAGAAATATTTAAGGGAGTCCCACACCTGGAAGCAGGAGGATGATATCTACCATCATAAAAACACATGAAAATTTAAACCCCCGGTTAGAGCAAACATTACGAAAAAAGGAAAAGAAAAAACTCAAAAATTACCACTACAGAAGATTACCAAAGCACAATGATAAAAAATAAGAGAAAGAAATGAACAAAAGATAAACAAAACAACCAAAAATCAATTAATAAATGACAAAAATGAGCACTCACATATTGATAATAACCTTGAATATAAACATATTGAACTGCCCACTTAAATGATATAGACTGGTTGATTTTTTTTTTAAAGAAAGCATGATTCAACCATATACTGCCTACAAGAAACTCATCTCACCCCTAAAGACACATATAGACTGAAAGTAAAGTGGGGGAAACAGATACTCCATGCAAACATAGACCAAAAAACTAGCAGAGGTAGCTATACCTATGTTAGATAAAACAGATGTTAAGTCAAAAACTGTAAAAAGAAAAAAAAAAAGGTCATTATATAATGATAAAGGGATCAACTCAGCAAGAGGATATAATAATTCTAAACATATGTGCGCCCAAGGTCAGAGCACCCAGATATTTAAAGTATATTATTAGTGCAAAGGGAGGGAGACTCCACTACAATAATAGTTGGGGACTTCTGCACTCCATTCTCAGCATTAGACAGATCATCTAGACAGAAAATTAGCAAAGAAACATTGGACTTAAATTGCATTTTAAACTTCATGGACCTAACAGACATTTACATTTCATTGAACAGCTACAGAATACTCATTCTTCTCATTGGCACATGGAACATTCTCCAGGATAGGTCATATGTTAGGACATGAAAGAAATCTCAACAAAAACAATTTTAAAAATCAAAATCCTACAGTATCTTTTCACAACATAATGAAATAACATTAGAAATCCATAACAAGAGGAACTCAGGAAACTGTACAAATACATGGAAATTAAACAACATGCTCCTGAATTACAACTGGGTCAAGGAAGAAATTAAGGAGGAAATAACAAAGTTTCTTGAAACAAATGAAAACCTAAACACAACATACTCAAATCTATGGAATACAGCAAAAACTGTGCTAAGAGGGAAGCTGATAGTAATCCACACCTACATCAGAAAAACCAGTAAGATTTCAAATAAATAATCTAATAATGCACCTTGAGTAACTGGAAAATCAAGAACAAACAAAACCCCAAATTGCTAGAAGGAAA
The DNA here is from genome assembly GCF_000001405.40 of Homo sapiens. NCBI lineage: Eukaryota > Metazoa > Chordata > Mammalia > Primates > Hominidae > Homo > Homo sapiens. Next base: position 91,959,016 of record NC_000013.11, read on the forward strand.
GGAATAACAAAGATCCGAGCAGAACCAAACAGAATGGAGACAACACACACACACACACACACACACACACACACACACACACACACATCAATGATGAAACAGAAAGTTGTTTTTTTGAAAAAATAAACTAAATTGATAACCCACTAGGAAGATTAACCAATAAAAAAAAGACACAAATAAACAAAATCAAAAATGAAATGGGAAACACTTCAGCTGATACCACAGAAATACAAAGATCATCAGAGATTATTATGAACAACTATATACTCACAAACAGGAAAACCTAGAAGAAATGGATAAATTATACATACAAACTATTAACACTGAATGACAAATAGAAAATCTGAACAGACTAATAATGAGTGATGAGACTCAGTCAGGAGTAAGAAGCCTCCTAACAAAGAAAAGTCCAGGACTGAATGACTTCACTGCCAAATTCTACCAAACTATCAAAGAAGAACTAATACTAGTTCTCCTCAAACTGTTCCAAAAACATGAGGAGGAAGGAATTCTCCTTAACTAATTTTATAAGGCCAGCACTAGCCTGATACCAAAACCAGCTTAGGACACAACAAAAAGAAAAACTACAGGCCAATATCCCTGATGAACATAGACACAAAATTTCTCAAAAAAATACTAGCAAACTAAATTCCATAGCACATCAAAAGGATAATATACCGTGATTTCAAATAATATAACATAAGATTTCATATTGTAATATGTAATAATATATCGTAAGATATCATGATTGAGTGGGATTTTCCCAGGGATGCAAGGATGGTTCAACACTTGCAAACCAGCAAACGTCATGCATCATATCAACAGAATTAGGGACAAAAGCCAGATGCAGGAAAAGCACTTGATAAAATTCAACATCTCTTTATGATAAAAACTTTAAGCAAGTTTTTAACTAGGCATAGAAGGAATATACTTCAACATTATAAAGGCAAACCCAAAACCAGCATCATACTGAATGAGGAAAAGCCGAAAGCCTTTCCTCTAAGAACTGGACAAGACTTTTAACACTGCTATTCAACATAGTACTGAAAATCCTAGCCAGAGAAATCAGGCAAGAAAAAGAAATAAATTTATCCAAATTGGAAAAGAGGAAGTCAAAGTGTCCCTCTTTACTGATAATATGATCTTATTCTAAAAAAAAAAAACTAAAAACTTCACCAAAATACTCTTTACAGCTGATAAATGAATTCAGTAAAGTTTCAGGATACAAAATAAATATGCAAAAATCAGTGGCATACCTATGTATCAATAATGAACTAACTGAAAGAAATCAAGAAAACAATCTCACTTACAATGGCTACAAAAAAATAAAATACTTAGTAATAAATTTAACCAAGAAGGTGAAAGACCTTAACAGATAAAACCACAAAACACTGATAAAGGAAACTAAACATGAACAAATGGAAAGACATCCCTTGCTTTCCAATCAATATTATTAAAATGACTGTCTTAGCCAAAGCAATCTATAGATACAATGCCACCTCTATAAAAAGACCAATTTCATTTTACATAGAAATAGAAAAACAACTCTAAAATTTGTGGAACCAAAAAGAGTCCAAATACTCAAAATAATCCTAGGCAAAAACAATAAAGCTGGAGGCGTCACACAACTTGATTTCAAAATATATTACAAGGCTATAGTAAAACAACATGGTATGTATATAAAAAGAGACGTGGATAAATGGAACAGAATGATGAGCCCAGAAATAAATCTACATATGTACAGCTACACATTTATGTATTTTTGATAGAGGTGTCAAGAACATACACTGGGGAAAAGACACCCTCTTCAAAAAGTGGTGCTGGGAAAATTGGATATCCATATAAAGAGAATGAAAATAGACTCCTGTGTTTCACATATACAAAAATCAATTTAAGATAAAGACCTGACACTATAAAACTTCTAGAAGAAAACATAAGGGAAACACTCCAGGATATGAGTCTAGGCAAAGATTTTATGGTTGAGACCTCAAAAGCACTGGCAACAAAAAGAAAAATAGACAAATGGAGCTATATTAAACTTAAAAAAAAACTTCTCCATAGAAAAGGAAACAATGAACAGAGTGACGAGGCAAACTGTTGAAATGAAAAGAAAATATTTGCCAACTATTGATCTGACAAGTGGCTAATGTCCAGAATATAAAGAAACTGAAGTAACTAAACAAGTAAATACTCAGGGTAATGGAAACTCTAAATACTCTGACTTAATCATTACACATTCTATGCATGTAATAAAGTGTCACATGTACCTTGTATATATATATACAAATATTATGTAGCAATTTAAAAAGATATTGTGATTAGTGAAAGGATAGACAAATAGAATGATGGAACTGAATAGAGCCCTGACTAGACACATTTACAGTCACTTGATTGATGCCCCAGGTGACTGACAATACCAACTGTCATAGTATGTGGAGTAATTGGAACACTCATACACTGGCATTAAGAGTGTAAATACGTGTAAACTTATGATTTCATGTGGAATTCTGTTAGAATTCCAATTCTAACAGAAATGCACATGTGTAACAAAGGAATGTTTGCAGGAGTTAGGAATAAACAAAGGATTGTTATTCATAATAACACAGCAGAAAACAAACTCATATGTCCTCAAAAGTTGAATGGACAAATTATGGAATATTCATAAATTATGTTCATGCATATGATACGGCAATAAGTAAAGATAACTATTGTGTCATGCATCGTAGGTGGATCTCACTAGCGTAATACTGAGCCAAATAAGTAAAACACAGAGGCATTATCTATGGTCCCACAGAAGTTCAAAGGATCCAATATTAAGAGAAGGGAGTTTGTGATTGATGAGGAGGGAGACGTGGGTTCCTCTGATATGCAAGTTATATGCTATTTCTGGATCTGGTCAGAAGTTAACTTCTCATTTTGGGAAAATGTATAAATCTGTAACTTTTTCTATATCTACATGTCAGAAACATTTTTATATCAAAGACAAAGTAAAAGTAGCAACTGATTCATAAAAGAGATTACCTTTGAAAACTATGGAGGATGTTCTTCATATGGTTAAATTCATTTGACAGTTAAATTTAGACAAAGATTAAGAAGTGTTTATTAAATTTCATAGCTAGAAGGTCGTTGGCAATTTTCCTAAGAGTGTTTTCTATGGAGTAGTGGGGGTTGAAAACAGGCTGAAGTGTGCTGAAGAGCTCCTGGGTGGCATGGCAGTGTTAGAAAATGCCAAAATGATAAGACTTCTTTTGAAACTGAAATTAACATCCTTTTGCCATGAATACAGAATTTTATTGGAGAAATCCCAAAGTTTTTTCTCAATATCTATTCTCTTCTTCAACTACTTTGTATTTAAATACCTAGAGAAATAAATATTTCCTGACTTAAAGATAGTCACAACATAGAAATTAATTTCCTTTTAGTGTGGTCTGTGTGAGCTCTGGAGTAGATGGCCAATAAAAATTAGAATGTTTTTATACATTTTTGGCATTTATCTAATAGACTTAATTGCTAAAAATTTTGGGGAGGGTTGTTGCACAGTCTTAGTATTAGTTTAATGTACCTATATATTCTCACCCATACCTTCAAACACACATTTTGAAATTTCCATTATGACTCATCCATGGCAAATAAAATGGACTCTCAGTAGTTGTAGCTATAACCTATGCTTAATAGACATATCATATTGTGAAAAAAAATGAGGTGGAGTTTTGCATCACAGTGGGAGTTCTCTATTAACCATTAGTTATACCTACTGAAAGCAGGTTGAGAAATGATTCTGCTGGTAACAAAATTATTATATATGGTAGAGGTCATATAATAGTGGCCTTCAGGCCAATTTAGCCTACTGGTGTGTTTTGTTTCCTATATTCCTCAGTTATTGTTTTCATTTTTTTGATATATTTAAATGCCAGAAGGCAGTACCTATGTTCTCTAGTTTGTCACTATTCCATGTGCCTTATTATTTCTGCCTTCTGGGTGGAAGTATAGAATAGTGACTAAGTGTGGGCTCTGGGGTCAGCCCACTTGAGTTTGAATCCTGTTTCTACTGGTTACTATGTGTCTTTGGGCAGTTACTTAATATTTCTGTACCTCTGACTTCTCATCTTCAAACAGGGAATTGCATAATTTTGTACCTATTAGGTACAGGTATAAAGTCCAAAATTATAGAGCTGAGTAGTGCTTAGGAATGAAGCAATATGAAGGAATAGGAATCCTAATTCCCTGCTGCTGGGAGCACAGGGTTTGCAGAAACTATATGGAAAGCAAGGTGACAAAGTTTAGGTAAGTATATCCACAGGTTTTGAATCCAATTTTACCCTTCTGTGTATACGTATTTCCCCCAAATTTTCAAAAATTTGCACATATTTCTACATGTTCTCTTACAGAAGTTCCCTATGTGTACATAAGGGAATGTGTAGCAGCACATTTAGTGAACATTTGTAACAAAGAGAACACATAAAGTCAAAATGGAAACATTTGTTTTGGAAGGCCTGAACAACCTTGGTATCTATTGTTGGAAGTGTAGATTGGTCATATGTAGCAGAGACACATTATGGAATACTTTACAGCAGTTAGACACAATAAATTAAGTGCAACAGGCATGAAGCTTAATGTACAAAATGCACAGTTTGCAGGAACAGAGACAAAAAGATAATGATTAAAATTATTAACTGATTGGGAGAGGTGGGAAGTAATGGCAGTGGGGGTATAAGAATAGGGATAAATAAATAAAACACAGATAATAATATTGATATGCCACAATCTGATGGGGTATTTTGAGCTCATACCACTGCACCTGTGGTCCAAAATGAAATTAAATGGAAGAAGCATCAATCATAGAACACTTTCTTCGTACAAGATGTGATGATAAACAAGTTAATGCTTTTACACTGTTGGTGGGACTGTAAACTAGTTCAACCATTGTGGAAGACAGTGTGGGGATTCCTCAGGGATCTAAAATTAGAAATACCATTTTGTGTTTGGAATTGGTGGGTTCTTGGTCTCGCCGACTTCAAGAATGAAGCCATGGACTCTCGCGGTGTTACAGTTCTTAAAGATGGTGTGTCCAGAGTTTTTTCCTTCTGATGTTCAGAGGTCTCCAGAGTTTCTTCCTTCTGGTGGGTTCATGGTCTCACTGACTTCAGGATTGAAGCTGCAGACCTTCACAGTGAGTGTTACAGCTCACAAAGGCAGTGCAGACCCAAAGAGTGAGCAGCAGCAAGATTTCTTGCAAACAGTGAAAGAACAAAGCCTCCAAAGGGTGGAAAGAGACCCCAGCAGGTTGCTGGTGTGGGCTCCGTGGCCTGCTTTTATTCCCTTATTTGGTCCCACCCACATCCTGCTGATTGGTCCATTTTACAGGGAGTTGATTGGTCCATTATACAGAGTGCTGATTGGTCTGTTTTACAGAGTGCTGATTGGTCTGTTTTGACAGAGTGCTGATTGGTGCATTTATAAATCTTTAGCTAGACACAAAGTGCTGATTGGTGTATTTACAATCCTTTAGCTAAACAGAAATGTTCTCCAAGTCCCCTACCCGATTAGCTAGACACAGAGCACTGATTGGTGTGTTTACAAACCTTTAGCTAGACATAGAGCGCTGATTGGTGCATTTATAATCCTTTAGCTAGACAGAAAAGTTCTCCAAATCCCCATCCCACCCAAAAGCCCAGCCAGCTTCACCTCTCAATTTGACCCAGCCATCCCATTACTGGGTATATACCCAAAGGATTATAAATCATGCTGCTATGAAGACACATGCACATGTGTGTTTATTGCGGCACTATTCACAATAGCAAAGACTTGGAACCAACCGAAATGTCCATCAGTGATAGACTGTATTAAGAAAATGTGGCACATATACACCATGGAATACTATGCAGCCATAAAAAAGGATGATTTCATGTCCTTTGTAGGGACATGGATGAAGCTGGAAACCATCATTCTGAGCCAACTATTGCAAAGACAGAAAACCAAACACTGCATATTCTCACTCGTAGGTGGGAATTGAACAATGAGAACACTTAGACACAGGGTGGGGAACATCACACACTGGGGCCTGTCATGGGGTGGGGGGAGGGGGGAGAGATAGCATTAGGAGATATACCTAATGTAAATGAGGAGTTAATGGGTGCAGCACACCAACATGGCAAATGTATACATGTGTAAAAAACGTGCACGTTGTACACATGTACCCAGAACTTAAAGTATAATAATATAAAAAAGCACCTAGAATATTACCTAACTCATAAGTACTCAATAATTGTTAGCTATTCCTTCAGAAATGTAACTTGCTCAGCTCCAGAAGGCATTTTGGTTGTGAAGTCAGGTATAAAGGAGTGCTCATTTGGAGAAGTGTTTTAACTTTAAATTGCTCATTTATCTGCTGTACCATGATATCAATCAATGAATGATTAGATATTTATAACATTTCTATTTCTTCTTACACCATCATTTACCCAGTTTTTCTCTCTGTATAGTTATGAGGAGTTCAGAGCCTCCCATGTAATTGTACATATCTTCAGATTCATTTAAAGAAGAAAAGGACACATTTGCTAAGAGTGTAAGGGATTTTAGCCAAAGTAAATGAATGAGAGGGTATTAATTCACAAGGGTTCAAATTCATTTAGGCCTGTCATATCCTACAAAGGAAAATCAGCAACCAGAAAGGGGCAGTCAGGCATGATATTAAACAGCTGAGCATGTCAAAATAATCACTTCATCGTTATGGAGTTCCATTCAGTACATCCGTGCTTGAGCTGTTGCCATTGTGTGGGATTTTCACACTTCTTGATAAATTGATCTGTTTTTCCTAATATAATTATCATGAAGTTTTCTCAGGAATGCATATTTAAACTGAATAAGTCCATTGGGTTATCATTCTTAGAATATTTGATTTAAACATCAAATACATTTAATTTGTAAAGTAGGTTTCCATATGGGAGGAATGCTATTTTTTACTATCTATTGGCACATGATAGAATTGGATGTACTTACTAGAAACCAGCAATTTTCTTCATATTCTTCAATTTCTTCCTGAACTTCTAAATAGAAATAATTAGACAACTAAAAGGTAAATTCCTCATACGGACACGTGAAAGCCAGTGGTGTTTTTTAAGCTCAGCAATATGTTACCAGAAAAGTTCATTTTCAGGTCATTTAGCAGCCTGACATCAGTGAGTTGAATAATTCACTAAATTATTAATACAGAACAACTTACTTTAACATTTCCCTTTAGACTTAGTGCAGAAAAAGCATAGAAATAGGAATAAACTTCTCTTATACAATCAAAAGTGTATAATGGGAGCAGTAAATGGTCAGAAAAGAGATTCATTGTCAGTTTTTATGGGACATGGTTTTATCAAGAGACTTGGAGGTATTTTGTTGTATTTCAGAAAATTAGGAAGAATATAGACCATACAAGTAACAAATTGCTTCGTAGTAAAATATTTTATTCTGAATATTAAACAAAAGATGTGCAGACAGAGATTGAGACAGGTGTATGTATTCAGTCTGTATCATGTTTATGTGTAGGATATGTTTGCTTCAAAATATTTCCTTGCAACTTAGGCATGTTTATTCATTGTTTATTCTTACTGCATCAATCAAAACTTATCAGGAGTCTAATACCTCACTGACTCTTCTAGTCAAAAGTTTAGTTACCTTAAGTAGATATTTGAAGTTGATGAAATGCATTCATGCATTGATCATGAGCTGAACTATGATGTAAGTCATAAAAGGCCTGATTCACTTAAAAACTGACACTGATATTTTTTAAAAGGGGAAAAAAGCAAATAAAGAATGCACCTGTGCAGAAGTGTACTGTTTACTACTGAGAGTTTAACAACAAAATATTGCAATCTGATTATACACAAAATGACTCCAAAATATGTTATAAATACTTGAAGTTAAATATTTGAATAAACACTATTTCCTATATGTTAAAGTAACACTTATTTGCTTTTCCATATTGTATTAGCATACTCACGCTACTGATAAAGATATACCTGAGACTGAGTAATTTATAAAGAAAAAGAAGTTTAATGGACTCACAGTTCTACGTGGCTGGGGAGGCCTCATAATCATGGCAGAAGGTGAAAGCCGTGTCTTACATGGTGGCAGACAAGAGTGAATGAGAGAGAACCAAGTGAAAGGGGTTTCCCTTTATAAAACCATCAGATCTGGTGAGACTTATTCACTACCATGAGAACAGTAAAGAGAAAACTGCCCCATGATTCAATTATCTCCCACTGGTTCCCTCCCACAACACATGGGAATTATGGGAGCTACAATTCAAGATAAGATTTGGGTGGTGACACAGTTAAACCATATTACATATTTATCTTGATCATTTTTATACTTTAAAAAATTTGTATTTTTAGTATTATAAAAGTAAAATATACTCAGTTAGAAGAACTTAAAACTGTAAAAATCATTAGAATATTAAAATGACCTATAATTTTAAAACATATTAAATTAAAAAAATTATTTTTCCCAGTCTTTGTCTAGCTTTTTGTTCAGATTTTTGAAAATTAAGTTAGATTTATACTTATGAACTCATATGCTTTTACTAATGATCATAAAGTTTCTAAAATTATAAATGCTTTTAAATACATCATTTCCATGGCTATGTAACACCCTGGTAGAAGAGCATTTCATAATTTAACCATCAGCAATATTTATATATTATTGTTAATTTTGTAAACATTTTCATATACAAAATCATCAGTGGAATAAAGAGGATGCTTTTTAAAAGTTTCTTAATATTTATTAGCATGTAATTTCAACTAAAGTTTATACAATTTATCTGGCCATATTAGAGAGCTCCATTTCTGTCACATGCTTGCCAACATTATTATTTTTAATTTTTATTGTTTTCATTTGCATTTCTGTAACTCCTAATGGAATTCAATATTTTTAAAATGTGTATTAGTTATAATTGTTCATTTTCTAAATTTTCTGTTGCTGTAACTATGTATTCTTTGGGACCATTATACTTTTTATAATTCATTTGAATGAATTATCCCTAGTAATGATATTAACTTTCATTTGCTGTATTTGTAGAACACATATTTTAAATTTATTTGCCTTTTATTTTGTTAACAGTGTTTCTTAGTTTTAGAAATGTGTCCTTTGTTTAATTACATTCTTGATTTCTTGTATACATAGAAAATCTTTTCTCATTCCAAAAGCAAAATTATATTCCTCATGTATTTTTTCCTATTTTAAAGTTTTTTTTTATGTTGTACATTTAATCCATCCATTTTTCTAGATTTAATTGTGGTACATAGTATCAGATAAATATCTAAGAGTTTCTCCTAAATATTGATGGTATTGTCTGAGTATAACTCTTTAACACACTATTTAAATTGCAACTCAACTGTGTTGAAATTTAATATTAATATATGTTTCAAAATGTGATAGTTTTTAATGATGCTTCTTTTTTTTTCTTTTTTTGTTTTGAGATGGAGTCTTGCTCTGTCGCCCAGGCTGGAGAGCAATGGCGCAATCTCGGCTCACTGCAACCTCCACCTCCCAGGTTCAAGCGATTCTTCTGCCTCAGCCTCCCAAGTATCTGGGACTACAGGCATGTGCCACCATGCCTGGCTAATTTTTGTACTTTTAGTAGAAGTGGGGTTTCACCATGTTAGCCAGGCTTGTCTCGAACTCCTGACCTCAGGTGATCTTCCCACCTCAGCCTCCCAAAGTGCTGGGATTACAGGCGTGAGCCACTGCGCCCGGGCAATAATTCTTCTAAATATGCTTTTGACAGTGCCATACCACTGTGCTATTGAATCTCTGGGTATGTTCTATTAGATTGTTGAGCCAGCTCCCATCATCATCACTACTACTTATTTTCCTTATTTTTTGTCTTCCTTTTCTTGTTCTCTTTGTCCTCCTCTTTCTTTTCCCTTTATCTTTCTTCTTTCTCTTTTTTTCTATTTCTTTTCCTGATTATTTTTCTTTTGAGATGGAGTCTCCACTCTGTCAACCAGGCTGGATTGCAGTGGTGTGATCTCGACTAACTGCAGCCTCCGCCTCCCAGGTTCAAGCGATTCTCCTGCCTCAGCCTCCCAAGTTGCTGGGATTACAGGTGCATGCCACCACCCTCAGCTAATTTTTGTATTTTTAGTAGAGGCAAGGTTTCCCCATGTTGGTCAGGTTGGTTTTGAACTCCTGACCTCATGATCCTCTTGCCTAGGCTTTCCAAAGTGCTGGGATTACAGGTGTGAGCCACCATGCCTGACCTATTTTTCTTATACTTTAAGTTATTTCTTTGATACATTTTAAAATTTGCTAATAGCATGGATATCTGACATTATCTTTTTACAAAATAAGTTATGAACACAAAAAAGTTAACTCAAAATGGATTAAAGGCTTACATAGAAATGTAAATCTTCTAGAAAAAAATCATAGGTAGGAAAACTCTTTGGCACTGGTCTTGATGGTAATTTTTTTTGATATGACACTAAGAGCACAGATGAAAAAAAATAAAACAAGGGGTACTATACCAATTTTAAAAGCTTCTGTACATCAAAGAGAATAATCAACAAAATGAAAGGGCAACCTATGGAAGGGGAGAAAACATTTGCAAACCATATATCTAGGGACTCTCAATTTCCAAAATACTTAAATAACATACAACTAAACAGCAAAATCAAATAATGTGATTAAAACTTGGCAAAGGATCTGAGCAGAGATTTCACAAAATAAAACATAAAATAGCCAACACGTTTATGAAAAGGTGCTCAACATCAATAATCATCAGAAAAATTCAGATCAAAACCACAATTATATATCGCCACATTGGTTGGGATATCTGTTGTACAAAAAAACAAAAAAAGGATTACAAGTGTTGGTGAGGATATGGAGAAAAGGGACCTCTTATACGCACTGTTCATGGAAATATAATTTGGTACAACGAGTATGGAAAACAGCATGCACTCCCATGTTGTTTTTGCAGCATTATTCCCAATAGTCAAGATGAGGAATCAACCTGAGGGTTCATCAAGGAATAAATGGTAAAGAAAATGTGCTAGATACACACAATGGAAAACTATTCAGTATTTAAAAAAGAGGGAAATTTTGCCTTCCATTTGCAACAACATGGATGAGCCCAGAGGGTATTTTGCCAACTGAAATAAGCCAGGCACAGAGAGACAAATACCACATGATTTAATTTATATGTGGAACCTAAAAAAGGTGAACTTATAGAAATAGAAGTAGAGAGTCGATTGCTGATTGCCAGGGCCCGGGGATGGAAGAGTGGGGAATGGGGAATGGGGAGATATTGGCAAAAAGATACAAACCCTCAGTTATAACATGAATAAGTTCTGGAGATCTAATGTACAATGTCATGATTAGAGTTAACAATGCTGTATTGTATGCTTTAAATTTGCTAGGAGTAGATTGCCCCCCCCTCACACATACACACATACATACACACAAGCTATGTGAGATTATAGATATGTCAGTTAGTTAGACTGTGATAGTCATTTCACAGTATATACATCTATAAATCACCACATTGTCTGCATTAAGTAACACAGTTTGTATTTGTCAGTTGTACCTCAATGAAGAAAAAAAATGAGGAGTAATAAAAGCAAAAAAATAGTGAAAACATCAATACCTAATTTATTGAGAGTTTTTAGCATGAAGGGTTGTTGAATTTTGTCAAAGGCCTTTTCTGCATCTATTGAGATAATCATGTGGTTTTTGTCTTTGGTTCTGTTTATATACTGGATTACATTTATTGATTTGTGAATGTTGAACCAACCTTGCATCCCAGGGATGAAGCCCACTTGATCATGGTGGATAAGCTTTTTGATGTGCTGCTGGATTCGGTTTGCCAGTATTTTATTCAGGATTTTTGCATCAATGTTCATCAAGGATATTGGTCTAAAGTTCTCTTTTTTGGTTGTGTCTCTGCCAGGCTTTGGTATCAGGATGATGCTGGCCTCATAAAATGAGTTAGGAAGGATTCCCTCTTTTGCTATTGATTGGAATAGTTTCAGAAGGAATGGTACCAGCTCCTCCTTGTACCTCTGGTAGAATTTGGCTATGAATCCATCTGGTCCTGGACTTTTTTTGGTTGGTAGACTATTGATTATTCCCACAATTTCAGAGCCTGTTATTGGTCTATTCAGAGATTCAACTTCTTCTTGGTTTAGTCTTGGGAGGGTGTATGTGTCGAGGAATTTATCCATTTCTTCTAGATTTTCTAGTTTATTTGCGTAGAGGTGTTTGTAGTATTCTCTGATGGTCGTTTGTATTTCTGTGGGATCGGTGGTGATATCCCCTTTATCATTTTTTATTGCATCTATTTGATTCTTCTCTCTTTTCTTCTTTATTAGTCTTGCTAGCGGTCTATCAATTTTGTTGATCTTTTCAAAAAACCAGCTCCTAGATTCACTAATTTTTTGAAGAGATTTTGTGTCTCTGTTTCCTTCAGTTCTGCTCTGATTTTAGTTATTTCTTGCTTTGTGCTAGCTTTTGAATGTGTTTGCTCTTGCTTCTCTAGTTCTTTTAATTGTGATGTTAGGGTGTCAATTTTGGATCTTTCCTGCTTTCTCTTGTGGGCATTTAGTGCTATAAATTTCCCTCTACACACTGCTTTGAATGTGTCCCAGAGATTCTGGTATGTTGTGTCTTTGTTCTCATTGGTTTCAAAGAACATCTTTATTTCTGCCTTCATTTCGTTATGTACCCAGTAGTCATTCAGAAGCATGTTGTTAAGTTTCCATGTAGTTGAGCAGTTTTGAGTGAGTTTCTTAATCCTGAGTTCTAGTTTGATTGCACTGTGGTCTGAGAGACAGTTTGTTATCATTTCTGTTCTTTTACATTTGCTGAGGAGTGCTTTACTTCCAACTATGTGGTCAATTTTGGAATAGGTGTGGTGTGGTGCTGGAAAAAATGTATATTCTGTTGATTTGGGGTGGAGAGTTCTGTAGATGTCTATTAGGTCTGCTTGGTGCAGAGCTGAGTTCAGTTCCTGGATATCCTTATTAACTTTCTGTGTCGTTGATCTGTCTAATGTTGACAGTGGGGTGTTAAAGTCTCCCATTATTATTGTGTTGGAGTCTAAGTCTCTTTGTAGGTCACTAAGGACTTGCTTTATGAATCTGGGTGCTCCTGTATTGGGTGCATATATATTTAGGATAGTTAGCTCTTCTTGTTGAACTGATCCCTTTACCATTATGTAATGGCCTTCTTTGTCTCTTTTGATCTTTGTTGGTTTAAAGTCTGTTTTATCAGAGACTAGGATTGCAACCCCTGCCTTTTTTTGTTTTCCATTTTCTTAGTAGATCTTCCTCCATCCCTTTATTTTAAGCCTATGTGTGTCTCTGCACGTGAGATGGGTTTCCTGAATACAGCACACTGATGGGTCTTGACTCTTTATCCAATTTGCCAGTCTGTGTCTTTTAATTGGAGCATTTAGCCCATTTACATTTAAAGTTAATATTGTTATGTGTGAATTTGATCCTGTCATTATGATGTTAGCTGGTCATTTTGCTTGTTAGTTGATACAGTTTCTTCCTAGCCTTGATGGTCTTTACATTTTGGCATGTTTTTGCAGTGGCTGGTACCGGTTGTTCCTTTCCATGTTTAGTGCTTCCTTCAGGAGCTCTTTTAGGGCAGGCCTGGTGGTGACAAAATCTCTCAGCATTTGCTTGTCTGTAAAGTATTTTATTTCTCCTTCACTTGTTAAGCTTAGTTTGGCTGGATATGAAATTCTGGGTTGAAAATTCTTTTCTTTAAGAATGTTGAATATTGGCCCCCACTCTCTTCTGGCTTGTAGAGTTTCTGCTGAGAGATCCACTGTTAGTCTGATGGGCTTCCCTTTGTGGGTAACCCTACCTTTCTCTCTGGCTGCCCTTAACATTTTTTCCTTCATTTCAGCTTTGGTGAATCTGACAATTATGTGTTTTGGAGTTGCTCTTCTCGAGGAGTATCTTTGTGGCGTTCTCTGTATTTCCTGAATCTGAATGTTGGCCTGCCTTGCTAGATTGGGGGAGTTCTCCTGGATAATATCCTGCAGAGTGTTTTCCAACTTGGTTCCATTCTCCCCGTCACTTTCAGGTACACCAATCAGATGTAGATTTGGTCTTTTCACATAGTCTCATATTTCTTGGAGGCTTTGTTCGTTTCTTTTTATTCTTTTTTCTCTAAACTTCCCTTCTTGCTTCATTTCATTCATTTCGTCTTCCATCACTGATACCCTTTCTTCCAGTTGATCTCATTGGCTCCTGAGGCTTCTGCATTTTTCACATAGTTCTCGAGCCTTGGCTTTCAGCTCCATCAGCTCCTTTAAGGACTTCTCTGCATTAGTTATTCTAGTCATCCATTCGTCTAATTATTTTTCAAAGTTTCTAACTTCTTTGCCATTGGTTTGAATTTCCTCCTGTAGCTTGGAGTGGTTTGATCATCTGGAGCCTTCTTCTCTCAACTCGTCAAAGTCATTCTCCGTCCAGCTTTGTTCCGTTGCTGGTGAGGAGCTGTGTTCTTTTGGAGGAGGAGAGGCACTCTGCTTTTTAGAGTTTCCGGTTTTTCTGCTCTGTTTTTTCCCCATCTTTGTGGTTTTATCTACTTTTGGTCTTTGATGATGGTGATGTACAGATGGGTTTTTGGTGTGGATGTCCTTTCTGTTTGTTAGTTTTCCTTCTAACAGACAGGACCCTCAGCTGCAGGTCTGTTGGAGTTTGCTAGAGGTCCACTCCTGACCCTGTTTGCCTGGGTGTCAGCAGCGGTGGCTGCAGAACAGCGGTGGCTGTAGAACAGTGGATTTTGGTGACCCGCAAATGCTGCTGCCTGATCATTCCTCTGGAAGTTTTGTCTCAGAGGAGTACCCGGCCGTGTGAGGTGTCAGTCTGCCCCTACAGGGGGATGCCTCCCAGTTAGGCTGCTCGGGGTTCAGGGACCCACTTGAGGAGGCAGTATGCCCGTTCTCAGATCTCCAGCTGCGTGCTGGGAGAACCACTACTCTCTTCAAAGTTGTCAGACAGGGACATTTAAGTCTGCAGAGGTTACTGCTGTCTTTTCGTTTGTCTTTGCCCTCCCCCAGAGGTGGAATCTACAGAGGCAGGCAGGCCTCCTTGAGCTGTGGTGGGCTCAGAGCTATCTATGACAAACCCACAGCCAATATCATACTGAATGGGCAAAAACTGGAAGCATTCCCTTTGAAAACTGGCACAAGACAGGGATGACCTCTCTCACCGCTCCTATTCAACATAGTGTTGGAAGTTCTGGCCAGGGCAATTAGGCAGGAGAATGAAATAAAGGGTATTCAATTAGGGAAAGAGGAAGTCAAATTGTCCCTGTTTGTAGATGACATGATTGTATATCTAGAAAAACCCATTGTCTCAGCTCAAAATCTCCTTAAGCTGATAAGCAACTTCAGCAAAGTCTCAGGATACAAAATCAATGTACAAAAATCACAAGCATTCTTAGACACCAATAACAGACAAACAGAAAGCCAAATCATGAGTGAACTCCCATTCACAATTGCTTCAAAGAGAATAAAATACCTAGGAATCCAACTTACAAGGGATGTGAAGGACCTCTTCAAGGAGAACTACAAACCACTGCTCAATGAAATAAAAGAGGATACAAACAAATGGAAGAACATTGCATGCTCATGGGTAGGAAGAATCAATATGGTGAAAATGGCCATACTACCCAAGGTAATTTATAGATTCAATGCCATCCCCATCAAGTTACCAATGACTTTCCTCACAGAATTGGAAAAAACTACTTTAAAGTTCATATGGAACCAAAAAAGAGCCCACAATGCCAAGACAATCCTAAGCCAAAAGAACAAAGCCGGAGGCATCCCGCTACCTGACTTCAAACTATACTACAAGGCTACAGTAACCAAAACAGCATGGCACTGGTACCAAAACAGAGATATAGATCAATGGAACAGAACAGAGCCCTCAGAAATAATGCCGCATATCTACAACCATCTGATCTCTCACAAACCTGACAAAAACAAGCAATGGGGAAAGGATTCCCTATTTAATAAATGGTGCTGGGAAAACTGGCTAGACATATGTAGAAAGATGAAACTGGATCCCTTCCTCACACCTTATACAAAAATTAATTCAAGATGGATTAAAGACTTAAACGTTAGACCTAAAACCATAAAAACCCTAGAAGAAAACCTAGGCAATACCATTCAGGACATAGGCATGGGCAAGGACTTCATGTCTAAAACACCAAAAGCAATGGCAACAAAAGCCAAAATTGACAAATGGGATCTAATTAAACTAAAGAGCTTCTGCACAGCAAAAGAAACTACCGTCAGAGTGAACACGCAACCTACAAAATGGGAGAAAATTTTTGCAACCTACTCATCTGACAAAGGGCTAATATCCAGAATCTACAATGAACTCAAACAAATTTACAAGAAAAAAACAAACAACCCCATCAAAAAGTGGGCAAAGGATATGAACAGACACTCCTCAAAAGAAGACATTTATGCAGCCAAAACACACATGAAAAAATGCTCATCATCACTGGCCATCAGAGAAATGCAAATCAAAACCACAATAAGATACCATCTCACACCAGTTAGAAAGGTGATCATTAAAAAGTCAGGAAACAACAGGTGCTGGAGAGGATGTGGAGAAATAGGAACACTTTTACACTGTTGGTGGGACTGTAAACTAATTCAACCATTGTGGAAGTCAGTGTGGCGATTCCTCAGGGATCTAGAACTAGAAATACCATTTGACCCAGCCATCCCATTACTGGGTATATACCCAAAGGATTATAAATCATGCTGCTATAAAGACACATGCACACATATGTTTATTGCGGCACTATTCACACTAGCAAAGACTTGGAACCAACCCAAATGCCCAACAATGATAGACTGGATTAAGAAAATGTGGCACATATACACCATGGAATACCATGCAGCCATAAAAAATGATGAGTTCATGTCCTTTGTAGGGACATGGATGAAACTGGAAACCATCATTCTCAGCCAACTATTGCAAGGACAAAAAACCAAACACCGCATGTTCTCACTCATAGCTAGGAATTGAACAATGAGAACACATGGACACAGGAAGGGGAACATCACGCTCTGGGGACTGTTATGGGGTTGGGGGAGGGGGAAGGGATAGCATTAGGAGATATACCTAATGTTAAATGACGAGTTAATGGGTGCAGCACACCAACATGGCAACATGTATACATATGTAACTAACCTGCACGTTGTGCACATGTACCCTAAACTTAAAGTGTAATAATAATAAAAGAAAATTTAAAAAAATAGTGAAAACATCATGGCAATAATAAACTTAAAACTGTTACTGAAGTGCCAGAGATTTGGTTTAGGTCCTGCTGCTCACTGCATAGAAAGCCAATTACTGAGACAATGAGTATTGCCAGGGAAGAAGGCTTTAATTGGGTGCCACTGCTGAGGAGATGGGAGATCAGCCTCAAATCCGTCTCTCTGATGCCCTACAATTAGGAGTTTATATAGCAGAGAAGGAATGTAACTAAGCTGTGGGAAAACAGGAATTAGAGAGGGATAAGGAAGAGGAGTTGGTCAACAGGAAGCAGGAGGTTGGTTTGGGAATTATGACACGTGAAGAGTCTGGCATCTCATTATCTGGATGCAGTGATCTGGCGAGTTTCAGTTCCTTGATACTATTTGGAAGGCATGATGGTTTTCCTGAGGAAGAAACTCAGATAAGACAAATGTAAGTTTCAGGCTTTAAGACAAACAGAGGCCGAGCGCGGTGGCTCACGCCTGTAATCCCAGCACTTTGGGAGGCTGTGGCAGGCGAAACACTTGAGGTCAGGAGTTTGAGATCAGCCTGGCCAACATGGTGAAACCCCGTCTCTACTAAAAACACAAAAATTAGCTCGCATGGTGGCACACACCTGTAGTCCCAGATGCTCGGGAAGCTGAGACAGGAGAGTCACTTGAACCCAGGAGATGGAGGTTTCAGTGAACCAAGATCATGCCATTGCACTCCAGCCTGGATGACAGAGCAAGATTCTGTCTCAATAAATAAATAAATAAATAAATAAATAAATAAATAAATAAATAAAATAACCAAGAGAGTCAATTTTTATGTTTATCCAAAAAACAGTAAACATCGTTCTATGGACCAATTGGGCCAATTTCAAAACTGTTAAAAATATGATATGTAAATAAATATGCCATGTTTCTAAGGAGAATACAGGCAGATGTTTGATTTATTCAGAATATTCCTATATATTGTACTATTTTCTTAGCTCATCATTTTAATTCCATATATAAGGATACATGAGTGAAAATCAATGCTTAGTAATGAGCACTGTGTGCAACACTAAATATTCCTTAATGTGGGGAAAAGGAAGAAAGCAATTTGTTATAATTAAGCAATTGAAGACACCCTTTTTAGACAGATATTTTTTCAGCTCTGTATCTATTTTATGACTGTGCAACATGTCATTTAAGAAAAAATCCCATCTTCAATGGTCATACTTCACTCAACAGTAACAGAATACACCACCCAATAATATGCCACTTTGACATTAGGATTATTTTTAAGGATTATTTTGAGCTAAACACATTTGGGAAATAGACAATGCAAAAAAGGGCATTCTAAACCTCCCTTTTCTTCCTAAAATCAGATTAAAAACTCCCTTGTTAAAGATACCTCCTTCCCCCATAAAAGTGGTCATAGCCAAGAGAATTCTATGCAAACATACTTTGTTAAAATAATTCTCATCTTGTTTTAGCCTCCCCACATAATTTAGTTACTGTTACACAATTGCCTCTTTTTGTTCAACCTGTTATAAAAACTTTTAGCG
The DNA here is from genome assembly GCF_000001405.40 of Homo sapiens. NCBI lineage: Eukaryota > Metazoa > Chordata > Mammalia > Primates > Hominidae > Homo > Homo sapiens. Next base: position 91,977,832 of record NC_000013.11, read on the forward strand.
CTAGGTGCAATGGATCATGCCTGTAATCTCGGCACTTTGGGAGGTGGAGGTGGGAGAATCCCTTGTGCCCAGGAGTTCAAGACCAGCCTTGGAAACATAACGAGACCGCCATCTCTAAAAGAAAAAAGAAAGAAAGAAAGAAAGAAAGAAAGAAAAGAAAAAAAAAATTAAATTAGCTGGGCATAGTGGTGTACACTTGTAGTCCCAGCTACAGAGAAGGCTGAGGTGAGAGGATATAGCTTGAGCCCAGGAGGTCGAGGCTGCAGTAAGCCATGAGCCATGATCGTGCCACTGCATGTTCTCATGAAGGCTCTCATATCACATGAGACTTACATTAAATTTGTATTCTCAGGCCCAGCTGAAAGCTAAGGAGATAGAGGTACAATTTTGCCTCCTCAACATCAGCATGTTCGGATTACTGCTATTTTTTTCCAAATCGTATTAACACATAGTCACTATGCTCTGAATTTTTATTTGCCTGTTCATTTATTTACTCATTGTAGCAATATTTATTGAATGTTTCCTATGCACCTAGAATATAGGCTCCACTTTCATTGCACAGTATTTGATGGCAGAGGTAGATAAACCAACCACTGGCGACAAATATAGCCATAAGATTACTACCAGTTGTGGTGAGCATTATAGTAGCAATAACAAAAGCAAATGTTTGTGAGAGAGACAGAGTTATGCAAGTGAGGCTAGGCTACTGTGGATAAGTTTTGGAGGGAAGGCCTCTCTAGCTGACATTTGATTTGTTACCATGAGACACACAGGAAGACATCAGATTTCCCTAAGTAGAGACAGAGCCTTGGGAGCTAGAGACAGTTCAACCACAGCCAGTGGACCATGGAAAGGAGTGAGTCTTATTTTATTTTAAATGCATTAAAAAGTCATTGCCAGGTTTTAAGGAAAGGAAAGACATTACTTAATAAAAAGATTATCTGATGGCTTTGTGGAAAATGGGTAATATGAGGGCAGGATGATTGACTGAGTAATATGATAGTCCAGGTGAGATATGATAATGGCTTGGAATAAGATTATGGCAGTAGAAATGAAGAGGACTTGGAAGATTTATGATCCATTTTGAGAAAGTATTGACAGAACAGGTTGATAAGATGAAAGCAGGGAATTAAAGAAATAAGCAAATTGGCATCTTAAATATTTTGCTTGAGCTATTGTCTGGATGGTTTTGCCATTTACTGAGAAGGGATAGAATGAGAGAGGAATAGACTTGGGTGAGGGTGGAGATTAACAGATTAATTCTAATGCTTTTGTTATGAGATGTCTAAATAGCCATCCAAGCAGAGATACCAAACAGGTAGTTGGATATTATCTTAATTCAAAGAAATGGGAGAGCTAGAGGTAAGGGGAAATAAAAAGCCCATAGTGATTTTTTTTTTAAATCTGTGTCATTAACATCACGGAGGTATTCAAAGCTATGTGTTCAGATAGGTGTCCCAGAGGAAGCAGTAGGTAGATAGTAAGAACTAGAATAAAACTTTAATACATTACAAATTCATTTTTCATTAATTCAGCTTATATTTTAAGTTTACATTAAAGCATTCTAATTTTCCAAATGTCCTGCTGATAATGTGTTATCACATGTATTAACTGTTTTGAAATGATATTACTACCCTTCTAAGCACATGACTATTCTTAGAAAATGGGCTATATCGACCTTTGATTCAATTCCACAACTTTGGAGAAAGACTTATATCTGCAGGTACTATGGGTGTAATGTTTTCTGGTATTGAATAATGTGTGATAAAACTCCCCAAACTCTATAATAAGTTTATGCATATTAGCCATTGAGAAATTCAGACATGATCATATTCCTGCGGCTCCTCTGTGGGAGCTGGGTTAAAACATATGTCAGCCCAAAGTCTCTGCATTCACTGTTCAGTTTCTATGTCACATATTCTTTACACTTAAAGAAATTCCTATGGGCACAAATGTAATAAGATTGCAGCAACAGCACTTATTATCCCTTGGTTCAACAGATTCTGGATGCCTGCCCTGTGTGATCAGAAACATCTATGCATAAAGGAGTTAGTACATATGACTGTGTTGAACACTGATAATCACAAGTCACTTAACACAACACTTTGCTACTTTCAAGAGACACCTCCGCCTTTTACTTTATCTTTCATGATGAAGCAGTGGAGGAGATGAAGCAGAGATGTAGTAAATGAAGAAACTGATGCAAAAGAATACTATAGGCCCAGAGTCCCATATTTATTAAAGAGCAAAGCTGTGATTGGAGGGAAAAAAAGCTTCCAAAGTTTAGTCCATACCTTCTACAGAAATCCAACACTGTGACAGAGAAAACAATGTGCATTCAAAGTATCAAAGTGTGCATTTAAAAGTATTGCATATCTCCTAGAAAAAGTTCTAAAATAAGAATTAGTGCATATGGTGTCTAGGCCACTTAGATTAGCTATGTCACTGGAAAAGACACATGACATCCATAGACTTCAGGATTTTTTTAAGATCTATTCCCCACAGTAATTCAACTTCTTTTTATTGAGTTTCAAGTTAGAATAATACAGTGCACAGTCTTAACTTTACAATGCAATGACTTTTTACAAATATATACACTCACGGAACCACCAAAGTTCAAGATAAATTACTTCCACCACCCAGAAGCCCCTTTCTCCCAACTTCCAGTCAATACTTCCCATAAAATCAACACCATTCTGACTTCTTTCACCATAGATTCATTTTGTTTGTTTGCGAACTTTAAAGAATCACAAAATACCTATCCCTCGATGTCCGATGTCCAGCTCTTTACTTTTTAAGAATCAAGTTTTTAACTGAATTATAACATACAGTGAAGTGCACAATTAAGTATATAGCTACTTGAATTTTTACTAAATATATCCATCCAAGTAACCAGCACCCAGATCAAAAATTAAACCATTACCAGCACACCAGGATCCCCTGTCATGTCCCTTTCAATCAGGAACTGATTTCTAAGACTATAGGTTAGTTCACCTTTATGTAAGTGGGAACGTAGAGTGTGCACACTTCTGTGTTTGATGTCTTTCACCCCAAATTATATTTGGTAGATTTATCTATATTAAGGTGTATAGTTCTAGTTTTATTCTTTTTCACTTCTGTTTAGTATTTCATTGAAAGACTATACCAACATTTTTAGAAATCCATTTTATATTTTTGGACATGTGAATTCTTTGCAGTGTGGGTCTATTATGAATCGTGCTGCTAAGAGTATTATTGTTTGTGTCTTTTTGTGAGTATATGTATGCATTTCTGTTGGATATATACCTAGTAGTGGAACCACGTATGTTCATGTTTGGGAGATACTGCTAAACAGTTTTCTAAAGTGATTACCAGCATTTTATGAAATTTTGAGCTATTCTACATCCATGCCAGCACTACACAGTGATGTGTTGATAAACTGGCTCTTTGGAGAAGAAAATTCGACCTCAAGAGTTCTTACCTTTTTTTTTTTTTTTGAGACGGAGTCTCGCTCTGTCGCCCAGGCTGGAGTGCAGTGGCGCGATCTCGGCTCACTGCAAGCTCCGCCTCCCGGGTTCACGCCATTCTCCTGCCTCAGCCTCCCAAGTAGCTGGGACTACAGGTGCCCGCCACTACGCCCGGCTAATTTTTTGTATTTTTAGTACAGACTGGGTTTCACCGTGTTAGCCAGGATGGTCTCGATCTCCTGACCTCGTGATCCGCCCACCTCGGCCTCCCAAAGTGCTGGGATTACAGGCGTGAGCCACCGCGCCCGACCGTAAGAGTTCTTATCTTTAAATGAGGATGAAATTGACTTCATTCAAACATTTATTTATTCAGGAAACACTTGACATTGTGCTAGATATAATCCTTATCACCTAAACTAGTATAGAAGACAAATTGATTAAAATAAGGTGTTATTGGTGTGAAAGACATGTAACCAAGATGTTAATAATAATTCATAGTTGGGACATTTAATCTTGACTCACCCATTTGTTGAAAATATTATGGACTGTTTTTTTATGTTCCATGAATTGTGCCAGATGCTGAAAACACAAAAGTGAATAATGAAGGATTTGAAGGATAAGAGTTAGCTCAGTAAACAGGGAATGATGAGAGGCTGGAACAGAACATATTAGGCAATAAAGGAAGCAAGTTGGAAAGCGATGAGACTGGAAAGGGAGGCAGGAGTCTGTTTATGAAGGTTCCTCGCTTGCTGTGGTTAAGTAGTAGATACGTAATCCAAAAATCCATAGAGAGCTGGAGAGGGAAGCAGGAAGATGACAGGGTAAGATCTGTGTTGTAAGCAATCACACTGGCAGCGATGTGAAGACAGGATTAGGGGAGCCATGGCCAGAGGCAGAGGTCATTCATGAGACTGTTATAAGGGACTACTGACTTCATCCCTTGAAGGACAATGTGACAATATCCATAACAACAGAAAATGTTCATTCTCTTTAATTCCAGTTCTAGGGGATGATCCCACAAATATATTCAAATGTGTGAGAGGTGTTCAGGATTATTTGACATAGCAAAAGACTATTAAAACTGTTTTTCAGTGCTACACTAATGGTTAATTAAATGATGTAACATCTATACCACAGAGATGAAAAATAATATTGTAGATGTATGTATAATGAAACAAAATAATAAAAAAGCTATGTTGTTGAGTGAAAAAAAAAAGCAAAAAGGATTAGGGAAGGTATATATAATGAGTGGCTGCACAGTTAGCTGAAGAGCATTAACATACAAAGAGTGAGTGAAAGACGAAAATCTAGGCAAGGGGACTTAAAATAAGTAAGCATAAAAATGGGAAGGAAGTCAAAGGAGAATTAGATACTATTAGTGACATAAAAGTGGGTTTTAAGAAGGAGAAAGTGATAAATGGTGCCACACACCTCAGAGAGACCAGTCAAAGAGGAGCTGAAAAGTGTCCACAAGATTTAGTAATAGGAGGCCAGTCATAGGTGGCTTTGATAATTGACATCCTAGGTAGTTTTGAGAATTATTCCATTAGAGTTCCTGGCTTTTCATTTTTTCAGCAACATAAGGAAGAGAAGAGCTTCCGAGTCAGGGTAACCTTTACTCACAGACACATACTACTAGCACAATATGGTATTAACATAAAATAAGTTTATTAATGAAAATGTTCAAATACAGAGCAATAATTCCCTAGGCTCTTATTATCCCATAGAAAGAGTTATGCTTGGGTTAGTACAACTGGACTAAGAGCAACATAAAAAGGACCCAAGGTGCCGGTCGCGGTGGCTCACGCCTGTAATCCCAGCACTTTGGGATGCCGAGACGGGCGGATCACGAGGTCAGGAGATCGAGACCATCCTGGCTAACACGGTGAAACCCCGTCTCTACTAAAAATACAAAAAAATTAGCCGGGCGTACTGGCGGGCGCCTGTAGTCCCAGCTACTTGGGAGGCTGAGGCAGGAGAATGGCGAGAACCCGGGAGGCGGAGCTTGCAGTGAGCTGAGATAGCGCCACTGCACTTCAGCCTGGGCGACAGAGCCAGACCCTGTCTCAAAAAAAAAAGGACCCAAGGGAGGAGGAAAAGAGAGGCTGACAACATCTAGGTGACAGTGTGGCAAGAGCTTCCTGGTCAAGTAAGTATCTTAGAAAGCAGAGGCTGATGCTGGAGAGCTGTATTTTTTCATTGAACTGACTCAGACTTGCTGAACCAGCTCTTTGCTGACATCCTAAAAGAGGAAGGAACTAAAACTCCAGGACATCCACAATCGTCTCTCCAGGTCTACCCCACTATTCCTTGGAAGCTCATTAAATAGAATTCTCTCCAGACACTCGATTTGATGTCAAATTGCAGCATTTTCTAATGTGTAGTTCTGGAGCAGAATATTGATAAGGCCATTTGTAGCTTGGTCAAATAGCCAAACGGGGAGTGACATTTTCAAACTTATAAAGTCATGTTACTACCTACTGTCCAGGGGTGACATGGATGATCTGAGGGGCTGCCATTTCATATTCGTAATTGGAATACAGGGAATTATTCCTTAATTCCCTACCTACATCCTGAGGTCAACCGATTTGTGCCCAACCAGTCTTTCATCCTTCCTTGAGAATAAATCAGACACTCTGCTCTTTATTTGCAGTTATAAATTTCATAAACATTCAGTAGATTGCCAATTTGGCTTCATCAGCACTCACTGCTTGGATGAGCGTGGTCAAATAACCATCGAAGTGAAAGTAAGTGTCCAACTTTATATTTCTAGATTTGTGCTCCACCCGAACAACATATTTGTCAAAGTAATTTCTCTTAAGTCAATTCTGAGTTGTTTTCGGTGGTCCTCATACCACGGTGAAGTTAAGTCAACATTGTTTTAGCAATTATTATTGAGAAGTGATGGTTGCATTTTGTTGTTGTTATTACTATTCCATTATTATTCTGCACTGGCAGTTATTGTAGACAACTGAAAAACTGAGTATGTGACTAAATTGTTTTATCTGTTTCTATAATCGTTATTCAATCTGGCTCAATAATAAAAGAGCACACCATGGAGATGAACACATCTGATGGCATGCTATATCTGTCCACTATGATGATAACATGCTAACAGCCAATGGCATTGAGTAGAACTTCGGGCTATAGTCCCTGATCTGCACTTTACGTGGTACTCTTGATTGTACAGCACATCATCCTAAGGTCTAATTAGGGTTGTACTGCAAAGAGCACGCTCACGTGGACAACCCGTATGTGTAACATAAATATTGAATTTATGATTGAGTCATCGTAGTTGTTTTCATGAGAGGGCTTTCTTTTAATACTAGTTATTTTTGTGGTGTATAGTTGTATCTAGCTGTAGTTGTAATGTGCATTTCCCTGGTAACTAATGTGTACCTTAGTAATTTCAATATTTTCTTTTGTAAAGTGTTAGTTTAATGTTGTTTTTTAGCCTTATTTTCTTTTTCATTAAAAAGCCTAAACATTATTTAACATTTGGCCATTTTTATTTATCTTGGCAGTACTGACTTCAGGTTTATTTTGTGAACAGAGAACATATTCTCCGTGATTTTAATAATTCAGAATTTTTGAGATTTGCTTTATGGTGTAAAATATAATCTACCTTGGTAAATGTTCAAATGTCCATCTAAAAGAATGTGTGTCATGCACTTATTTGCACAGTTTCAAAGATGACAAATTAAGCCAAATTGGCAAATTGTACATTCTGTCATTAGTGATATTTTATATGTTTTTTCTAATTAGAAAGTTATCGTAAATTATTCAGCTATGATTATGCATTTGTCTAAGTTTACATTTACTTTTTTCCACTTCTGTCTTTTATATTTTGAAGATGTATTATTTGTTGTATGCACATTTAGGATTACTTTATGTTTTTGTTAAACTGCCCCTTTTATCGTTGTAAAGAGGCCAGTTTATTCTTGTAATATTTTTGCCTTAAAGTCGGCTTTGACTGGTATTGACATAGTAATTTTCCTTGCTTAATGTTTGCTTGGTATATGTTTTGTCATCATTTACTTTTATGTGTCTTATGTTCTTATATCTGATGTTTGTCTGTGTAATAAAATCAGCATTTTTTTTTTTTTTACTAGTGTGACAATCTTTGCCTTTTAATTATTTGGTTCACTTCGATTTTTTAAATCTACTGTTTTGTTTGGTTTAAAGTCTATCATCTTTCTATTTGTTTTTTACTTGTTTCATCTGCTCTTTTATTTCTTATTTATCGTTTCTTGGCTTTTATTGCACTAAATTATTTTTATAATTGATTTTGTTCTTTAAAATTGACTTTTCAGTTACACATGTTTATTCATTTTGTAGTTAAATTTGTTTTCAATGTACCTTCTTGATTTGTTGTAGCCTATTTTAAGATAGCACTTTTATTACTTCCCAAACAATCCAAGAAACTTTCTACTACTTAACTTTACTTTCTTATCCCTTCAGCCTTTTGTGCTATTTTGTCATATATTTTATTTCTACATATGTTATAAACCCTACAGGGGAAGCACAGCTTGCAATGACTAAAACAACACCACATAGTGTATCTTCTTCAAGATAACTGGTAAATTGTGTTCTGAAAATTCTTAGGGGATACATGCAAAAAAGATGAAAACCAAAATACTCAATGCCACTTTTCAGTGCAGTCATAGGCATCCAGGACTCTGATCCCAGCCAACTTCTCAATTGTAAAGATGAAATTTACTACACTAGTAGTCAAAAAGTTTTAAAATATATATCTATATTTTAAATTTATTCTTAGCCAATACTTTTTTTTTTTTTTTTTTTTTTGAGACGGAGTCTTGCTGTGTCGCCCAGGCTGGAGTGCAGTGGCGAGATCTGGGCTTACTGCAAGCTCCGCCTCCCAGGTTCATACCATTCTCCTGCCTCAGCCTCCCGAGTATCTGGGACTACAGGCACCCACCACCATGCCCGGCTAATTTTTTGTATTTTTAGTAGAGACGGGGTTTCATCATGTTAGCCAGCATGGTCTCAGTCTCCTAACCTCGTGATCCACCCGCCTCGGCCTCCCAAAGTGCTGGGATTACAGGCGTCAGCCACCACGCCCGGCCGCCAATACATTCTTTATTATTTTCTACTTTTTAAACACTTAAGTAACTTACTAGAAACTACGATTTAGATGAATCTTTCAGATGAAATTAATTTGTAAACTTTTCTGAATTTGTTTGTAGCTATTTCCTGTTCCCAGCTTTACATTTTCATATAGTTCAACCATATGTTTCTTTAAGTCCCAGATCTTCTACTCTCTGCAGCAAGCATGACATGACTCCTATAGTGAGCACCTCACTTATTTCAAATTTAAGAGTAGCTCTCTTACATTGTTTTCCCAACCATTACTTTGTATAACAGTAATTAGACATGTATATCATCTTCCTCACTAGACCTAAGTTCCTTAATGTCAGATCTTAAATATATATTCTTTATATGTTCTCAATGAAATATTTTCTTTTTATATTCTCTATGAAAACATAGAGTAATCAATTGAAACATGGACATAGCCTTCATGGTATATGTTAGTAAAAACATTTATATTTCTACAGCGTGTTTAAGCCAGAGCTAATTTTGAAGCCTCTGCTTTGCCAATGGATTCTTGTGTAGATAGTTACAAGGTGACTGTGGCTGAATGCTTCATTAAGCAGTGGGAGTTTTGAGCCAGGGGCAATATATCAGGGATTAATTGTCAGTTGGTAAGCAAAGTAGATAACAATCAAGGTTACACAAAGATTACAGTGTCTTAAGAATAAATGTTAGCCAGGATGGCATAAATGAACTGATAATCAGGTAGGAAGACGTTATGGCAAGGAATGTGTTTCCTTAAACAACTTTTAAAACTAATAGAATTTAAATAAGATATTACCCCCAGTCAATAAAATTCTACTGAAAAATAATGAAGCCTGCAAGTGTGATGGTTGCAATGCTGCAGGCACCCACGGAGACTCTGCAGGAGGCCTGCACATGCTTCTTCCCTGCCTCTCCTACTATTTACAAACATAATGAAAATGAAAATGAATATGCTGCTTGACTGCTACTCTTAACAGCAAGGACTGTGAGAAGAATATTGTTTTAGTTTGTCTGTTAGGGTGACCTTTATGAATTTCACTGTTGCTAGAAAACTCAGGCTGATTGGACAACGTTCCCATTTCTTTAAGAAAGATTTGAAAGTTCACAGGGACTACTTTTAGAGTTACTTCTTGGAGAAGTGTTGCTTTTTTATATGCATTTAGTTCACTTTGTTTTTATATTAAAATCTATTATAATTTATGTTTTTGACAAATGAAGATGAATAAAGGGAGATTGAGTATAACTTCTCAGTAATTGCTAAATGAAATTTGGGAATTGTCAGTCCATGTATTGCTTTGGTCTTTTATGTGACCAGTAGGAATCACTTAGCCACTCTCTAGATTTCACAATAGTATATAAATACTATATATAGTATTTATATTATATTATGTATAATACTATTTATATATATAGTATTATATTATGTATAAATACCATATATAGTATTTATATTATATATAAATATACTATATATAATTATATATATTATTTTATATTATATATTTAATATACATATTTACTTATATATAATCATACGATGTAGTATATATAAACATACTATACATTATAGTAATTATTATAGTAAATATATAATATAGTAATAGTTACATGTAATTATATATTATATAAAATACATAAAAATATACTATATATAGTATTTATATATAAATATATATATGAGGAATACTATATATAGTATTCTTCATAATACTATATAAACCAGGTCTCAGAAGCTTTTAGATACATATTTTTAAGGCCATTATTATGCTAACACTTGAAAGAGAGGCAGAAGCCTTCACATTTCAACCCAAGATCAAACATTGCTTTTTCTCTGAAATAAAGATTACAGAGGCATCAGGTTTTCTACACATGAAATGAACATGTGGTGTGAATTGTTATGAATATCCTTGTATATGAGAAAGCCAGAAAGTCAAGGAGACACAGAGAGAGAATTCAGAATTGTTCTGGGTTGGAATTCTGGCTTTCTCTAAAGATCCCTGCATATGGAAGTCAGAAAGCTTCGCAGCATGAAATCTTTGATCCAAAACACTCTTTTGACTTTTCAGAAAGGCCTTCAGACACTTAAACCTATTAACTACACAGGATTCTAAGTATCCAGATGAGCTGATCTCAGACAAAAGCAGATTAGGAACAGCAATCTGGAAGATCAGCGCTGTGAAAGGCATGCTGTTGGTAGCAGAGCAGCCATCTGATATCATGATGCTAAGAAAGACAAAAATCAAACCTCCTGTATGCCAAGCTAGCACAATTTCTGATTGGTCACGATTTTAGCTATCATGGAAATTTAAGATTTGTATTATGGGGAAATAAACCTGGACCCATAAACAGTAATTCATTTTAGAGACCCATTTTCCATCAAGCTTTAAGGTCTGTTATCTGGAAATTTGTTATGTGGAATACTCTAATGATACTGAAATGATGGTCGTCTTCCTTGCTTGATTAGCACTTGGTCAAAACCTCAATTCTGGAGTGTTTTAGATTTGAAATAGTCTCACATTGATTATCATGTTTGAAATCTGCAGTCATCCTGGGAGGCAGGCAGGGCAAGTATTATTATTTTAATTGTACATATAGAACACTACAAACCCAGAATAATCAGTGGCTTTCTCATTTCACATGACAGTAAAAATACAAAACACAACAAAAAGCAAAAATGCAGTCAAGTCTCCTGTTTACTCCTCATTACCCTCCGCTGAACCACATCCTTCATTTGGGAACCTGTTAGATTGGAGCCTCAGTGGCCACACTCCTTCCTGTCTGGGTAAGATGGGAAGTTCTTCCAGGCAGTTTTATAAAGTAGGTTTTTTACTGAGTTATTTTAGCATTATTGTGTGTAAAGAAAAGTTAGAATTTGTTAAAGAAACATGATATAAATGCATTCAAATATAGTCTATGTCCTTTAGACTTCTGTTTCTAAATCCCATATGATTCCCATTACTCTAAACATGTAAGATGAATATGATGGCCTTTGACGTATACTGCAATGTTGTAATCAAAAGAAGAAATTGAACTGATGCTACCTGCAAAAGACAATGCCAGGTTTTATGTAAAATAATCTCGTACTTACAAATGAATGGCTCTTTAAAACTGTATAACCACATGCTAAAACATTGAGATGTGTTTTTAATGAATGTATGGTTATTGCTTTGGTGTAAAATCTTGCATTCAAGGATTACATACAAATCTAGTGCCTTTGAGTACTGTTATACGATAGGTACTAGAAATAGTCAGGTAAATATAAAAGGCATGTCATTTATTCTCTCAGAACTTTGAATCATAGTGTTCTGGTTCAATAAGCAAGTGTTTCAACAATGATTACAAACATATAATAGCATGCAATTACTATTTTGCAAGAATTATATTATCACCAATACACAATAATTACTATGAATGCTACACAAATATTATTGGTGTACTTTATTAAAATAAAATTTGTATACATATTGACTATACAGTTATTACTCTAATTTAATAACCCATATATTGAATTGCATTAAAAGTGGATGCCAAAGAAAATGTGAGGATAAGTGAAGAGAATTAAAAAAAACTTCACCCTTTTTGCTTTCTTTGTGTGACACATAAAGTTAAAACCTGCATGATTCATATTCATAACTATAGTAATTTTAAAATAGCTCAGCCATAAACAGCATTTCTTTTCTCACAGAGATATGAAGATAACCTCAGGGTTCCCATCTATGCTATAATTATGTAAATAACAATATATTGGTATTATGATTTTTAGTGTTCTGGAATAAGTCTATTTTTATAGCTATTTTCACAACAGTTGTACCACAGGGACTACAAGTTAAACTCTTTGGTTGCAAAAATATTCACAATTCTTAAACTCAAGTAAAAGTGAGCAAAATGTCAGGAGAGACAATTTTGTGTCTTTAAAGTATCAGTGATCTGGGTTTGAAACAACCCAAAGATTCTCTGGCCATGTGACAGATAGATAATTTAATTATATTTTCTAAACCTCAGTTTTCTCGTTGGTACAGGGGTGGCTGTGAGGACTGAGAGTGGTATGTATGTAAAAATTGCAGCGTGGTGCCTGGAACATAGTAAGCACTCAGGAAATGGTAACACCAAGACAAAGGCAGGTAAAATAGGAGATAGGTTTTCTTTTTCCTCTTGAAGATTTGTATTACCTAGTGATATTGTTCTTATAATTAACTTTTAATATGTTTAATACATTTAAAAATATATTTTTGTATCTTATTTTATACTGAGTTTTAGAGAATGGTAATTCAGTCAACAAGTGCCGATGAGTTGGTGCTGTGCACAGTGTATCATGCGCAATGCTGTGCAGAGATGAAGGGGCTTGTATATTGCTCACGCAGTCAGAGAACTGTCACCAGGAGGCATTTTCCTTACAGATCAGCAATGCAGGTGTTTCCACTCTGGGTACATTTTAGAACAAAATAAAAGAATAGACATAGATACAGCTATTGCAAATAAATGCATGATTTAAAATTCAAACCTCTCACTTATCAAGTGGTATTCATGAATTAATTAGATCTCCCCCAAGTGTAGTTTACTTAATAAGAATTGTGTTTACCGAAATTATGGTAGTCTCATTCACTGTAGAGCTATGGTTATTAAAAATGGTAGCGGAAAGTGTGCTTTTGGGAAGGCAAATTTCACACACCTAAGTTGTGTGTGCATTCATAGCAAAAGCAATGGCACCAGCCCGAGGACACATTAGTCAATGGCAACTCAGCCTAATGAAGACACAACTATGATGATCGTACACAATGGCTTCCACTTGCTATTTACCTCATAGAATCATTGTATTTGTAAATTTCACTTACCACCTTTCACAGCCCTCCTTGTAATTGTGTTTTGCAGTTTCCTCGTCTCTAAAGTGAAAGGACTAAACGAAGGAATTTCTACAGTTCGATGACTCTGTCTTGCAAGAAAGATTGCAATTTCTTTGCTGTCAGAGACATAATCTGTTTTATTTATCTTTGTATATTTCATAATGCTCAGTAAATGATAAATAAATGACATTTAAAATATATCTTATTTTCCTTCTGAATGGTAGTTATACATACTTACTAGTACTATCTTTCATATGGGCTCATTTGAATGAGTGGGTACTAGCTTTAATATTTTCATAAAGTGCAAAGCCAGAGATAAAAGTCAAAGGGATAAAGGAAGAATTTTTTTTTTCTCTCTCTCTCTATACACACACTCACACACACATTTTCCCGTAAACATCAAGTTGTAGAACTGGTGTGTGTGTTTACAGACTTTTTTTGAATTCCAAAAAGAATTATACTGTGAACATTTTTTAATAGGAAACATACTGTAAATAAAAATACAAATGAGCTGGATAAAATGTTCTGTCTGGTTAGAATTGGTTCATGAATTCTATTTTTTGTCTTCATGCTCTGTGACTGGAACACAGGATACTTAACAAGATAGTTAATTTCTCTGCATCTTAGGTTTCCTGCAAAATCGCTACATTTTTATAAACATTAGTGTGTGGTTAGGAAATATGCTTTTTATTTCCAAATAAAAAATGTATTATTGATTTATATTCACACATGCAGTTAATGTGTTTATGATGTACACATACATATATAGAATTTTATGGTACATGTTAGGATAAAAATCTAAGGACTATATTTCTTTTGATTTTTTAATTTTTATTTTTTGAGACAGGGCCTTGTTCCATTGCTCAGGCTGGTGTGTGTAGTAGTGGTCATAGATTACTGCAACCTTGAACTCCTGGGCTCAAGTGATCCTCCTGCCTCCCAAGTAGCAGGGACTATAGGTGCACAACACTATTCCTGGCTAATTTTTTGAAACTTTTTCAGAGAGAGGATCTCGCTCTATTGCTCAGGCTGGTCTCCATCTCATGGCCTCAATCCATCCTCCCACCTCAGCCGCCAAAAATACTGGGATTATAGGTGCAAGCCACCATGCTGGGTCTAAGGGTTATAGTTATTATTCTACCAGTAGCCAGTGGAAAACATAACCATTCTTTAAAGAGCTAATCCATTTATTATGAAAAAAATTTAGAAATTTAGTCTTTAAACATTTGTATGAAGCTATTTACTTTTTTTTTTTTTTTTGAGGTGGAGTCTCACTCTGTCATCCAGGTTGGAGTGCAGTGGCGCGATCTTGGCTCACTGCAACCTTTGCCTTCCAGGTTCAAGCGATTCTCCTGCCTCAGCCTGCCAAGTAGCTTGGACTGCAGGCGTCAGCCACCATGCCTGGCTAATTTTTGTATTTTTAGTAGAGATGGAGATTCACTGTGTTGGCCAGGCTGGTTTTGAACACCTGACCTCATGATCTGCCCACCTCATCCTCCCAAAGTTCTGGGATTACAGGTATAAGCCACCATGCCTGGCTAAAGCTATTTACTTTTTAGGAAAATTCAGTGCAATTACATATATATAAAGCTCAATAAACATGCCACTGCTTGTTCAATGGTAACTACAGTAATATTTGCAAAACAGAAGACTCCTGATTGTAGTTCTAGGGAACTGTTTCATTCATGGTCACATGAAAAGGAAAAGTTATCTCCACTTGTAGGAAAAAAATAAGATAGTTGTAACACAAAGGAACAGAGTTAACTGATATTAATCCATTTTAAACGAATGTGTCATTCTTAGTAAATTGTGTGTCATTTCTCTTAGTAAATTTCAAAATTTTCTGTAAAATAACTGGCGTTGATTATTTGCACTCTCTCTGAGACAGACACATATTGTTCATGTACCTTTGTTCTTTGCAGTTTGAGCTAAAATATATATTTGAAGTGAACAGTTTTTGCTAAAGAACACAGCTCTGTTGGATGCCTTTATTTCTACCTCTGAATTATCTTCAACCTCCCTTCCTCAGCCTTTTCAGGCCTCAAATCCTCTTTTAATTTTAATTCAAATGAGCAAACTGCAATTCTACACTTTAAAATGTGTCACGTTATGTTTACCCTCATAACTTGAAACTGCGTATACCTTTTTTTTTTCCTCCAGAAATCAACCCTGAATTATGGTTCTTTTTTTGGTTTCCTCCATGATGATTTGAGAATGCAGATTTGAAAGGGAGAATATAATATTAAAAATTTTGTATGAGCTCACATGAAGCAATAAGACAACAGAATGATAATTTCATTCAAACTTATCAAAGTGTCAGCAGAAACACGTTTTGTCAGATCAATTGTCATGTAATTCTGGTAAGTTCCAGGTTGAATGTGTGTGTCTGTGTGTGTGCACGCACTCACACACACACATTAAGGCTGTTTCAGGCTTTATTCAATATCCACAATGAACATTTTTTTCATGAAAATGAAATACTCTTTTTTATAGGTGAAAGACCGATTCCTTTCTCATTTATTGAATCTCAAAATATCTCATATGTCTAGTGGTAAGTCTTCATTCATGTTATTTCAGAGTGTCAGTTGTAGTGCAGAACTTCAGCTATCCAGTCACCTTAGCTTTAAGCTAGAAAATAAGAAAATGATCAGGATGTCTGTGACAATATTATATAATGTGACACTTGATACAGTACGAAGTCCAAGAGTACTCAGAGATGTGCAGAGAAAGTAAGCCAATTTAATAAAAGGGGACAAAGAACTGCAATGACATAAATCCCAAAAGCAATTTTATAGTCAGTATGTTTTTTACACAGAAACCAGGGAACTGCCTAACGTTGAGATGTTTTACTGAATCTTTGAACAGTATATGCCACTTTGGCTCTATTACCAAAATGTTGCCCAGGTACTAGTGGTGTGTTCAGAGGAATACAAGTAAGAAAAGGCCAGTCCTCGAAGAGGAAAACTGCAAGTGAATATGCATGTATACCGTAAAGGAGAGAAAGCTTTATCAAGTGAGCTAGCCCTGAAAAGGAAAATTTTTATGATAGCATCTAACACATGCACTTACCCCCTTCATTTTGTTTATCCATAATTGTGCCTGACACGTTACTACTGCATCATCTAAGCTACAAATATATATGTTGTTGAAGGCATCAAAGAAGCCTGTGTTGGGCCATCATGGATTTTCCTTATATTCATTCAAAACCCAGCAAATCTTTATAGAGTGACTGTTAGGTACTGAGATACAACAAAGAAGGAATCATACAGCTTTAAGTGAGAATTATCAATTGTTAATGATTCTTAATTAAACTTCGAGCACAGTCTTTTAATCATATCAATTCACCTAATGATCTATCATCAAGCCTACATTGTCTTATCTATTCCAAAAAATACAGTGAGTTGCTTTGTCTTGCCTAAATTCTGATGCATAGGGCCCTGCCTGTAGGATTTTACTGAGATCACCAGAGCAACAGAACAGGGTACTTAGCCTACTTCAGCTCACTACTTTCATTGTTAATTACACAAAAGTCCTTTGTTACAATCTGTTATAGAATTTTGTCTGGCATCAACCCTGATCCCCATTTTAGCAACTATCTTCCTTATAATTAAAACAACGACAACAACAAAAATGAGGCTACTATGTTCTGAAATTTATTTAATTCCAGTGGAACTTCAGATTTATGCATTTATTTACTTGTTTGCTTGTTTGTTTAGTTGACAATGTTTTTACCTGCAAACTTACCTTTTTTTATTTTTTATTTTTTATTTTTTTGAGACAGAGTCTTGCTCTGTCACCCAGGCTGGAGTGCAGTGGTGCAATCTCGGCTCACTGCAAGATCCGACTCCCAGGTTCACACCATTCTCCTGCCTCAGCCTCCCAAGTAGCTGCGACTACAGGCGCCCACCACCACGCCCAGCTAATTTTTTTGTATTTTTAGTAGAGACGGGGTTTCACTGTGTTAGCCAGGATGGTCTCGATCTCCTGACCTCATGATCTGCCCGCCTCAGCCTCCCAAAGTGCTGGGATTACAGGAGTGAGCCACCATGCCCGGCCTGAAACTTATCTTCTTTTAAATGACTTGACTGACTTTGCAATTTCCTTATCCATTTCGAATTTTGTAAAATTATTTTTTATTATTGACTGGCTATCTTCTGAAGTCTGGAGATTGTTCTTCTAGACCAAACTAGAAAAGGTAAAAAAGTAAGAGTTAACTTTGGGGCTGAGATTGAAATATGCTTCTAACACTTACAGGCAGCAAGACATTTGCAAGTTAAACAAGATCTAAGTGCTTCTGTTCTGTTCCCTTGTTGTAAAACGGGGAAAATAATAGCACTTTACCCACAGAACTGTGGTAAAATTTAAATTTGATTCTTGTAAAGCACTCAAAATAATGCCTCGAATATAGTAAACATTCAAAACTATTAGATAATTTTTTTAGTAACAACATTAGATACTAAACTCATGTTGTTTCTCTAAACAACTTAAAATCAATTTTATTGGTATTATCATTTTTATACAAGTTAGCTCATTTGAAATTATAAATCAGTCAGTAAGATCATATACATCTGGGCCACTGGTATATATTTAAGTTTTATCATGCATAAAATTCTCAACTTCTTCTACAGTTTCTGGTGCAATAAGGCATTTTAGGTCTCTGGTTGCAAGACAGACACTGACCTTTGTGGTGAAGAACCTAGGTTCCATGTGAGACTGATGGGCTCTACCACCTGCTAGAGGCTTGCTCTTAGACAAGTGCATTACTATTCAGATGGAATTATGGGCAGTTCCCTCTTTGGGTTGTGGCACTTGAAGCCTTTTTAATCCCAAATGTTTTATTACATTTACAGACTCAGGGGCAAAAGGTAAGAATTCCATTTATTCTCCTTTAGATCTTTCATTGTTTTTTTGAGGACAAGGAAGAAAATCTTCACATCCCTGAGCTCTAGATATTGATGTGGTTTATGTGTCTGTGTAGTCTAATGCTTGCTGGTCTATTTGGAGGCTGCTCTCCACGTTCTCACTTTTCCCTGCAGGAAAGTGTTAGATCAGTTATCTCCACTAGGACTCCAACAGGGTTCAAGGTCTGGTTGCAAACATCTTCTCTCTAGCCCAGGCTATAGCTAAGACTTAAGGGCAAGGTGGCCATATTCTAGTTGCTACAATGCAAGAGAATCTATTTGTGCAGAACAGAACATACTCATAAGGCACAAAGAAACCTATTACATTATAGTCATCAGATATAGTAGAATGAGACTTTTATAAATATTTATTTCTGCAAATCCTACAGAAGTAAGTTTTTAAAAGCAAAAAAAATTAAATATAACACATAGCAAAAAGTACAATAAACTAAAATATAGCTAAATTAATTGTCACAAAATATAGTTGTGTAACTGCCACTTAAGTCATGAACTAGAACATGGCAAGGACTTGAAAAAGCCCCCACTTTGTGTTCTCTTTGGATCCCTACCCCTCCCTCTAAGCTAATTCTGCTCTTACTTCTAACACTGTAGTTTACTTTGATCTTTGTTAATTTTAAAACACTGTATAAGTGGAATCACACACATTGTATTCTTTTTTGTCTGTCTCCTTTCATTGAACATTATGTTTCATTGAGTATTATGTTTACGTTTGGGATTCATCCATGTTGTAGTATGTAGCAATTGTATGCATTTTTATTGTTATGTAGTATTGTATCATACAAATATAATACCACTTGTCTCTTCTATTAATTATATTAGTATAATATAAAACATTATTGTAAGTATCTTAATTATAATATATCCCATCTATTATTAATATCCTTTATTGTTTATATTAGGAATATCGGTGATACACACATTTTTTTATTTTTGGTACATGTGAAGACACATTTCTATGGAGTATAGCTGTAAGCATAAACATTGGTTCATAGAGTTGAATTTTTTTAAAGTAATGGTACTAACTCACAGAACCACCTGTATATATGATGGTTCTGTTTTGCCTCCTATCTTCACTGATATGTCGTACTGTCAATTTATCTATGATACTGGATGAGGAGTGATATCTTATTTTAAACATAATTTTTATTTCCTTGTCTTCTTACAAAGTGGAGCACTTCCTCACAAGTTTATTGTACATATGTAATTCTTCTTTTGTACCATCCATCTTCAACCCTAAAGCTTATTTTCCATCAGGTTTTCAGCCTTCTCTTTGTTGGTTTGTAGATACACTTTCCATTCCAGACCAGTTCCCTCTATTTGTTAAATGTGGTACAGATATCTTCTTCCATGATGATTTGCCATTACACTCTCCTCTTGGTTTTTGTTTGTTTGTTTGTTTAAGACAGAGTCTCGCTCTGTCACCCAGACAGGAGTGCAGTGGCGTGATCTCAGCTCACTGCAACCTCCGCCTCCCAGGTTCCAGCGATTCTCCTGCCTCAGCCTCCCGAGTAGCTGGAATTACAGATGCAGGACACCACACACAGCTAATTTTTTGTCTTTTTAGTAGAGACGGGGTTTCACCATGTTGGCTAGGTTGGTCTTGAACTCCTGACCTCAAATGATCTGCCCGCCTCAGCCTCCCAAAGTGCTGGGATTACAGGCGTGAGCCACCACACCTGGCCCCTCTTGGTTGTTTTAATAAAGGGAAGTTTTAATTTGAATTTGCTCAAATGTAGTTATTTTCTTTATGGTTAAATTGTTTATACTATGTTTGGAAATAATTTCCCTAAAAGTTCTAGAAATTCTTTCAAGGTCATGAAGTTATTCTTCCATATCATTTTCTAAAAGCTTTGTTTTACACTCACATTTATTTTTATAGTAGTTTATAAATAGTATAAGCTAGCAAATAGAATTGTTTTTCTATTGCCTAATCACAGTTTATTAGATATGTGGATATTCAATTGCCCTATCACAATTTATTGAAAAGTTTTTTATTCCCTGTTGCTCTTCAGGACAAATGTCACACTTCACTTACTGCCCGTGTAGGGCTGAATTTGCTTCTAGACTCAGCATTCCATTCCCCTCTTCTATTTTTCTCTGTCTGTACCAATACTATCCAGTACTAAATGCTGTAGGTATAGAATAACTTGATACCTGATCCAACTCCTTCCACTTTGCTCTTCAAGATTATCTTGGCCTGATGGCATTTCTATGTAACTTTCTGAAAACATGCCAATTTCACCAAGACAAACACATACACACACCCTGTTAGAATCATGATTAATATCATATATAATTTCTGGATTAATTTTAAGAGAATCTGCAATTCATAATGTAAGGCTTTCCAATCCATAAACATGACCTAATCTCCTATTTATTGAGATCTTTAATTTCTTAATGTCATCCCAACCTCCACACCAGTTTTCACCATAGAACCACCTGTTATTATAGATCCTGGAAGATGATAAACACATTATCATAAATAAAATGGAACCCAATGTCTCTGCAAAGATACTATAATGAGAAAACTGAAAATGAGTGTGGCTTAATTGGCTTCCTAGTTCAAGAATATGTTATTTTCTTGTTACAGCAAAATGCAGTTTAATTTAATAAATGGTGTCTTTGCCAGGAGGTGGCGAGTCAGTCTGTGATTCACATTATGTAATGAGGGCTTATTATTTTTTGCTGGTCCTGGTATGAGAAAACCTAAACCATCCGTCCAAGCCACACAGAACTGAGTTATATGACTGAACTGTCCATTCAAAGGGCCTTATTGACCTAATAGCACTGAATAGTTCAAAGATAGATAAACAGAACTTCCCTGAGTCTTTCTTACTAGAACTAGCAGAACTTCAATAAAAAATATAATTCTAGCTCAATAGGCTTTGCAAATTTTAATGTTGGCCATGTTTAAATCCTTTCTCTTTAACCTGAACTTTACAGTCTGTATCTCTGGCTATGGTTTGTAGTTGCATTTTTCTCTGTGGAATCAGCTTTCCTCTCTGAATAAAGAGAAATTTAATCTCATTTTATGAAGAATTCTATCTTCCTTAAGTGCATCAAAATAACCTTTTTTTTTTCTGTAATGCTATGAAACATACTCCAGTAAAGCTTAATGCAGGAAATTATCATTTAATCCCATATTGCCTAATTTCACATGGCCTCTAAACACATTCAAATTCAGAATGTGAGAAGGTAAAACTATCTCTTCAAAAGATGATGACCATAATTCCATTGTCAACTTCAACCTCAAGGATGGATAAATAGAAATATGGAATCATTTTGTTTAGGTATTCCCCATTTTGCTTAAAATTTTACTTCATTATATTTTGCTTAGTTGACTTGTTCACATATTGACTTTTCCCTTTGGGCTCAAAGATGTTATTTACTTGGGGATGTGGGATGTTTTTCCATTTCAAATATATTAGATACAGACTCAAACCTTCACCAAGTAGCAAAATGAATACTCAAACAACATAATCAATAAATAGTCATTCTCTTTTATTCATTTGCTGTGAAAATCTCATGGCCACCTTATTCGAGTAATAATGACTTGTTTCTAGATGAACAATCTCATCATGTTTGTCAGAATTCACTTCTATTATTTTAATTTTATTTTACATCTATGTATCAATGAAAATCCTAGAACCAAAAAATGTAGATGTAACTCCTGCACTATATTCTGTAGTGGCAACACTGGACACATAATTTTTCTAATTCCACTTTCTGCATCTGCAGATAAGAAATTTTAAGGAGTTACTTTGAAAATTAAATGATAAAGTCCATGAATATATATAATAAACTGAAAAGTTCTGTATCTAAATATAAGTTATTTTTGCTGAATTGAAATCTGGCCAGTGATCTCTATAAAACAAGCTTAATTCTCAAGAGCTTGTATTCTTGAAGATGAAATAAGATCTAACATTTTCAAGAATGTAATCCATGAATAAAAATTGTAAAGGTAATAATAACAACAATCTGTTTTAATCTGGGAGATACCTGCTTGTGCACCCTTCTCCTGGGTAGCCATTTTCATTTCTGTCTTCCCAAAATTCTTAACAGCATATGCTTAGACCAAAAGAGTGGTTTCTCCGAGACACTGAGCACAAACATGGTGTGCATATTTTTTTTATTAAAAAATAGTTCTATATTTGGATAGAGGAAAATAGAAACAAAAGATATGGTTACTATCCTTGTATTTTTGAGACTCAACTATTCTTCAGAAATAAATATATATCATTCTTAAAACTTTAGGTGAGACACATCTTCTAGAGTTTTGTCCAAACTGGAGTATATTATATTATAATTATATTACAATATAATAATGTCATTACTCATTAGTTTACCTAGAATTACAGTCAATGTTTGGAAGGTTGTAGGAATTTCCAGTTTTTTTGTTGGCATTGTGTTTGTTTAGGCCTTAAATGACTTTAGATGTGGATGATTTTCCCAATAGAATGTTCAGCAATTCATTTTTCTTGAAACACAAACAGATATGCTGTCTGCGTGCCCTGCTGGATGGCCAGAATCCTCTGGGGAACACACTGATTGTAACTAAAGGCAGTCATTTAGCACATCCTCAGATGCTGGCAGGTAGCAGGCATAATAAGCTGTGGGATTTCTTGGTATTTAGCATGCCTCTGAAACTGAGAGGAACCATACCTTTTATAATTTTGGAACTTTAGCAATATAGAACACTATATGTAAGGCTAGGCAATGTTACACGCCATGCCATTTCAGAAGGGTTCCAGGCTATCCAAATCCTATTCAGGCCACTGAGAAAGCTGGGTGTGGAGAATAGGTAACAGCCACACAGTGTTGAGGCAAAATTAAGTGAAGAGATGGCCTTAGCTGTATTGGCTTTCACCATTCCTGGCTCAGTGCCTGCCACAAACTGTACTTTAAGTAAGTATGTCTTCCTTGGATACCAAAGTGTCACTTCCATTTGATCATGTTCAGCATTGTGGTTCCAGAATAATAGGCATAGCATAGTTTGTTTAAGCAAAGCAAAGACATTGAGGGTGAAGTTGTTAGTACTATTTTGTGAGTTATAGTTATCCCCAGTGAAACATTACTTGAATACACACAGGTGAGTTATTTGGAAAAGCAATTAATCTCAGGAAAATTAACTACTTAAATGCATATACTATGATTGGCAAAGGGATTTTGTTTTTTCATGTAAATTTTATTATGTTTTTTGGCTTTGTGCTAAATATTATCTGGTGCCAAGAGTTATTTGAAGGCCAATGCTGGATCATTCAAAATGAGATTACAGAGATATATCAAGATTCCATTATAAATTGAGCAATTAAAAAAATACTATTGTTCTTACTTTTCCAAGTTTCTCTCTTGCCTACTTTTGGACAGAGATACCACAATCCACTAGATAATATAAGTAGAGCAGGTATGCTGATATTAGTACTGGAATGCTGAGGGATCAATTTACACTAATTTTTAATTGAAAAAATGGCCATGTAGTAATTGAAAGCAAAAGCATTTAATACTGGATACTGAAGAAATTTAATTTAAATGTAAAAAGTATTGTAAAAGTTAAATCGTATTCCATTACATTTTATTTTTTGTGTCCACAAGAAAAATATTTTGATGAAGGTATACATTTTTAAAAAACAATCACTTTTTTCTTATTGCAATAAAGAGCACTTGAGAGAAGCATATTAGATACAACAAAAGAAAATATTAGTGAATTGGAAGGCATATTAAACTACTTACTTTACTGGAATTCTCATTTTTAGTTTTGACATCTGTTTTATATTTTTGTGCCATTTGGAATGTAGGTCAAAAATTCTTGCATTGTGAAAGACATTAAATAACATTCCAAAATGAATTGTGGACAATAAAGAGTAAGCCTTTCTGTGCCTGTACATCTGCTGTCCTCCACACAATTTCTGGTACTGACATGAGAGGCGGTAATTTTTCTTTTTGTTTCCTTTTGTTTACCCCTCTCTCTGTATGTTTTCTGAATACTTTGGAACAACTGACAAAAATCTGATTTGGTTGCTCTGAAGGACTTACAGATAGGGAATACCTACATATACCTAAGGACACAGGCAAGGAAAGGTTAAAAAAGAATGCTTCTATACAGGGAGAACAAAGAGGTTTGTTAAATTGTATTACAAAAAGCGTATTAACTGTCATTATCTCCATAATTCTGCCCAGTCTAAGATAATCCATTTTCACCTAGACTCCCAAGCAGAAATTTTACTCTTGTCACCCAAAGGAATTAAAATATTATCTTTTTACACCAAAACTGAGACAAGAACACAAAATTCCAAGAACTGGGCAGGAGTCAATAAACCATAATGTCTTACATGGAGAAAGAGATGCCATTGTGAGATGATAAGCAAAGCAGATGCCACCAACATTTTGTTGGATGTTGTGGAGGGAAAACCATTCTTTATAGTAACATGTTACAAAGACTGGAAACATAAGGGATACATTTGAATAAGCACACAAAAATAGTAAAAACGTATGCAAAGAATTAAAGTACCAATTCAAATAGGCAGTATGCTATTTAAAGTAAACAAGAAACAAGATAGGAATGGAACATATAAAGTGAACAACAACCAAAAAAAACTACTTTTAGGAATGACCAAATCAGACAATACTACAGGCTGGTGTATCTTAATTTCTAAAAAAGCAAAAACAGACCCTTTCTTTATTCAGTTGATATGAGCTGAAAACTCTTCCCTGTGCCAGCACTCTGCTGTTCAGAAGCTGAACCTACAGGGTGGATGGATGTAACCACAGTTGTTGGCTATGTTGTTACTTAGAAACAAAGAGTAAAGCATTTAAGAACATTTAAATGGAAGAGTAGGAAACCCTGAGGTACTTAACAAAATTTAAAAGTAGTAGAAAAAAATTACTCCACCTGGCCAGGCACAGTGGCTCACTCCTATAATCCCAGCACTTTGGGAGGCCAAGGCGGGTGGATCACCAAAGGTCTGGAGTTCGAGACCAGCTTGGCCAACATGACAAAACCCCGTCTCTACTAAAAATACAAAAATTAGCTGGGCGTGGTGGTGCATACCTGTAATCCCAGCTACTCCCAGCTACTCAGGAGACTGAGGCAGGAGAATAGCTTGAATCTGGGAAGCGGCAGTTGGAGTGAGCCAAGATGGCACCACTGCACCCCAGCCTGGGCAACAGAGTGAGTCTCTGTCTTAACACAAAAAAAAAAAAAAAAAAAGAAAAGAAATGTTTTAAAAAAGAAAATTACTCTATCTGATATTGTAGATAAGCACCTAGTATTTGCTCCAATCCATAGAACATCAGAAATTTACCATCCAATCGAGATTTTTTTTTTCAGTGAAAGGATGTTTGTTTTCTTCAATTGAAAATATTAGAGTTAAACTCTATATGCAGCAGTTTGAACCCAAATATAACATTTAACAGATTATAGGATGTCAGTATTTCAAATCTAGTAAGGCTAAATTGTACATTAGATGAACACATTTACAAATTTGTTTTAATCGGTTCAACTAGTTAATTCTTGATTGTAATAGTGCACATCCAATCTGTATTTTGTTATTCTTTTTGCTATAATCTAATTCCCTTCTTTTCTTGGTAATTAAACAAGCATAAAAATAAAGAAATAACAGCCCTTTCACATCTACTGTGAACAATAATACAGTAAGTTGTGAGTAGTCTTGATCCATATTGATGAAATGTTACACTTCAGAATTCAGGCAGTACAAGTACAAAATGAGAGAAGATTAAAATCACTAAATCTGATCTGTGAGAAGATTAAAAACAAGCCTCTTATAATCTCTCACTGCTGCCAGAAGTGGATTAAAAAATTAAAAGATCCTCCTACCTCCTCACCAGGAGTTTTATGAAGTATATACCATGAACATCACTAGAATTTTGAACAAGAAACTTGATAGAAAATTTAGCTGAAGCTATTTTTCCTATAGAATATTTCTCAAGATTTTGTTACTGTAAAAACAGTTTTGACTTTATTTTCCCAAAGTGTTTATTCTTCTTATGCATTTAATAATGACACTATAGGCCAGGCGCAGTAGCTCATGCCTGTAATCCTAGCACTTTGGGAGGCTGAGGTAGGTGGATCACAAGGTCAAGAGATGGAGACCATCCTGGCCAACATGGTGAAACCCTGTCTCTACTAAAAATACAAAAATTAACTGGATGTGGTGACGTGCGCCTGTAGTCCCAGCTACTCAGGAGGCTGAGGCAGGAGAATCACTTGAACCAGGGAGGTGGAGGTTGCAATGAGCTGAGATTGCACCACTGCACTCCATCCTGGAGACAGAGTGAGACTCCGTCTCAAAAAAAAAAAAAATTATATATATATATATATATATATATATATATAATTACACTATAGCTTTTCATGCAAAGAGTACTTATCTACAAAGTATATATGACTCTATTCATGCAATCAGAGTCATGGATTAAAAGAAAATTAATGTTAGATAGAATAGAGTCACAATTTACATTAGTACATTTTCATGCTGCTGATAAAGACGTAACCGAGACTGGATAATTTATAAAGAAAAAGAGGTTTAATGGACTCAGTTCCATGTGGATGGGGAGGCCTCACAATCATGGTGGAAGGTGAAAAGCACATCTTACGTGGTGGCAGGCAAGAAAGAATAAAAACCAAGTGAAAAGGGAAACCCCTTGTAAAAACATCAGATCTTAAGAGACTTATTCACTAACATGAGAACATTGTAGGGGAAACTGCCCTCATGATTCAATTATCTCCCACCAGGTCCCTCCCATAACACGTGAGAATTATCGGAGCTGCAATTCAAAATAAAATTTAGATGGCTTGCTTTTATTCTGGCCACACTGGCAGCTGATTAGATTTTGCCACCCAAATTGAGGGTGGGTCTGCCTTTCTCAGTCCACTGACTCAAATATGAATCTCCTTTGGCAACATACTCCATAGACACACCCAGGAACAATACTTTGCATCCTTCAATCCAATCAACTTGACCCTCAGTATTAACTATCACACAAGTTTAGCACAAATCCCCTTTGTTTGCAATCCCTAAAAAAGAAAACTAAAGTCGGTTAAGATTTTCCCTCCCTGGCTTACAGGATTCCATCAAGAGGAATGAAAAGGGAGCCCAAGAAATTTCTTATACTTCACAAAACTGCAACAGCCTTACACTACTTTGGCCTTTTATCCACGTTTAAATCTGTTGTGACTAGAAGCTGAAAACTCACTCTGCCACCATAGTCTTCGCCTTGATTTCTCCTCCCGTTTGGCTACAGCCCTCTTGATTCTAGCTTTCCTGTGGTTAGGGCCCTCAGCTTCAGGTCCTCACACCAATACCACATTTTTAGTGATGTCTTACACAGACGTCATAGAAGGGACTATTATCCCTTCTCCTTTCAGGGTTCCTTATCCTCCTCTTATCCCTAATTTTATGTATAGGATATATTGCTATTTACAAATATTTGTGTATGTATTATATATGTATATACACAGATACATGTAACTTATTTGATTATCCATATCTCCCTTCTAGACTATAAGCTCCAAGAAAGCAAAAACATTGCCTATTGTGTTCACTGCTATATCTCCCTGCACCCAGGACAGTTCCTAGCCTATAATTAGTGATCAACAAATATCTGCTGGTTCTTCTGCATATGGATATCCAGTTTTTCCATTGAATGAATGAATGGTTTAACAATATTGGAATATTTCCTGAGTTTATATCATTATTGGGAAAGAAGATATTTATATGCCACTAAATTAGTTACTCATAGATAGTGGGAGAAAAGTATCCTCAAGCTAGGAGCACTGTGTATTCTCAAAGAAACTAGATGTAACCTGATAAACCTTTTTTTCTGGCTATAAAAGACCCACAAAAGTCTATACTTAGCATCTACCCCAAGACATGAAAGAAAATATATTTTCCTTTCTAATGTTGTCACTTGGAGAAATACTTAGTCCAGTTATACCATAAAAAGTATCTTACACCACTGAGTTTGTATATTATAAATGTATAATGTTTGTGGCTTTTATGACATATGTGCAAACAATATACAGTAAGTATTATCTGTCTTTTCTGTACTCAAAATGATGGCATAGTCTGAATCATCAGAAGTAAAATTGGAAAAATGTACCAAAATAATTTAAGTGGATAAATGACAGCTAAATATACAGAAATATATGTATATTTTGACAGTGCTTCCTAAAACCATTTCTGTGAAATGTGAGATTACTTCCTAAATGAACTCTAGTTGCCTTATCTGGAAAAGTTGTACTTCTGTGACAAGCAATTAGCACTCTCTAAGGCTAAGAAATTGTGTGTTTTAAAAAAGTAAATAAATATTGATTTCCTTTTAGCTTGAAGAGTTTTGAAACTCCACTTGTCTAGCACAAAAGTGCCTTCCTACTACCTTTGTCTTATACTAGGCTCTGAATTTCTCTCCTAATGTCGATTCATACCCAAGTAAACTCTTGATCTTGTATCAAATGTAGTGGAAAACATTTACCTTTAAGTTACTTCCAAAGAGAACTTCCTTGACCTACCAAGATCTTACAATCAAAGATGCTTGTATTTCTCAGTAGACTTTTCATTATTTCAGATTATGAAAATGAAGAGAGAGAGACACACACACATTCATAAACATACACACACACACAGATATAGTAGAAGTATATTCTTTGCCTAATTTTGTGAGTTTCATAGCTTATAGATTTGGAGAATGATCGAGTTGGCTGATTTTCATTATCCACTCATTAGTTAATTAACTTTGTTTTATTATAAAGTACATTTTTGTAATGTTGTAGCATACATAGTTGTGGATGTTATGAATTCTGCTTTAATTACATATCTTCAATCATATTGCTTAGTTAAGTATTAATAATTGAGTTTGTCTTATTAAGCACTTTCTTGTGACCTTTAATATGATAAAGTAAATTTGTATTGATGCTAGTGTGCAATTTTAAACCATAAAAGTTCAGTATGCAATATGACATTTCATTCCAGGGAAAATATTCTTAGCTGTTTTCACAATTTACTCTCAATATCAAGCTATAACAGGATTTCTATTTATCAACACACTGCATAATGGCCAGGCCAGCATACATATTTTAAAAGGCAATAATCATTTGACATTGCACTATGCATTTGGCTCCCTGTCATCATTTGCCTCTACTAATCATAACAGTAGATATATTGGCTGAAATCTCCTATTGGAGTTGTAGTTTAGTCTACCACATTTTTCATTCCATCAGTTTTTGTTTTATGCATATTGAAGTTCTGATATTAGGTTCATACACGTTTAGGATTGTTTAATGTTTTTGATGAATTTGCCCTTTTGTCATTATAAAGAGTCTGTCTTTATTCCACATAATAATATATATTTTGAAATATGCTTTGTGTGAAGAGCTACTCCAGCATCCTTATGATTCGTTTGTCACCAATATTAATATTAGATTTATCTCGGTCTTTATATTTAAATTGTGTGTCTTTCAGGCTGTATATGGTTTATTTTAAAACACAATTTGTCAATCTCTGCTTTTTTAGAACTTTGAATCGTTAGTTTTTAGTGTAATTATTAATATAGTTTGATTTGAAATTATAGTTCTCCTACTTGCTTTCCACTTTCTAATCTGTTCTAGCTTGTTCTTTTCCTCCTTTTCCTTTTATTTTTACTCTTTGTTTATTATCTAGACGACTTTTAAAATATGGTCGCTCAAGATGAAATAGGCACTGGCAACGTATCCTAGTCTCCCTTTATGCCATGTACACCTTCACATATGAGGACTCCAAAACTCTATACTTCCGTTTCCACTTTACTCTTTGGGTGATTGTTCCCATAGCATTTACTTCTACATATGTTATAAATTCTATAATTCCTGGTTATTAGTTTTCTTGGAACAGTACATGACTTATCAAAGAACACGGTGAATGAGAATAATTTTTTTTTTTTTTTTTTTTTGAGACGGAGTCTCGCTCTGTCGCCCAGGCTGGAGTGCAGTGGCGCAATCTCGGCTCACTGCAAGCTCCGCCTCCCGGGTTCACGCCATTCTCCTGCTTCAGCCTCCTGAGTAGCTGGGACTACAGGCGCCCGCTACCACGCCCGGCTAATTTTTTGTATTTTTAGTAGAGACGGGGTTTCACCGTGTTAGCCAGGATGGTCTGGATCTCCTGACCTCGTGATCCGCCCGCCTCGGCCTCCCAAAGTGCTAGGATTACAGGCGTGAGCCACTGCTCCCGGCCGAAAATGTTTTATATTTACCTACAGATTGAACATTTTTCATTTTTCATTCCTTTGTGAAATTTAGCGTTTCCATCTGGTGTCATTTTTCTTCCCCATGAGGAAGCATCTCTTTATGGGTTTTTTTTTTAGTGCTGTTTGTTGGCAGCACATTCTTTCAGTGTTTGTTTGACTAAAAGCAAAATTATCTTTTTAAAAAATAATTTTGGAATAAAGTTTAGCTGGATATAGAATTCTATTTGACAATGTAGTTCCATTTTTCTTCTGGTTTAATTAAGCGGTTTCTGAGGAAGAAGCCGGCAGTAATTCTTGTCTCCGTGTTGTGTTTGCTAAACTTCCTGAATCTGTGAGTTTTTCGTTTTCATCAAATGTAGATTTTTGACATTACTTCTTGAAATTTTTTTCTGCTCCCCTTTCTCCCTTTAAAAATTACAGTTTCACATATGTTGT
Organism: Homo sapiens; assembly: GCF_000001405.40. Classification (NCBI taxonomy): domain Eukaryota; kingdom Metazoa; phylum Chordata; class Mammalia; order Primates; family Hominidae; genus Homo; species Homo sapiens. The sequence goes on from NC_000013.11 coordinate 92,008,810, forward strand.
AATGTTTAATATTGTCTCATAGGTTAGTATGCTCTGTTCATTTCATTTTTTTCCTTTTTTTCTCTATGTGCTTCAATTTGCATAGTTTCTATTGCTATGTCTTCAAATTCACCAATCTTTCCTTCCGCTATATCCAATATGCTTTTAATACCATCTAGTGAATTATTTATATCATATATTTTACTTTCATCTGTAGAAGTTTTATCTGATTACTTTGTTGTATATTCCATTTCTTGCCTAATTATTTTATGTTTTCCTTTAAATACTTGAACAAATTTATAACAGCTTTTATTTTATAGCATTATCTCTTTCATTTCTGGTTATGCGTCTACTGAATAACATTTCTCTTGGTTAAGAGTTCACTTTTTTCTTCTTCTTGGCATATACAATAATTTTGTATTTGATGCTCATTATTTTTTTTTATCTGTTGAGTGCTGGATTTTCGTGTGTGTGTGTGTGTGTGTGTGTGTGTGTGTTTCAATATGGGATGGATTTTGTTGGAGTAACCAGTTTAGTTACTGGGAGATCAGCTTGATTTTATTTCAGAGCTTATTTTTAAGCTTTTTTGTGGGGGTCTTGAATAGCCTTTGTTCTGAGGCTAGTCTAGTTGTAAAATAAAGGTGACAATGTCTAGAGACTCTACTAACTATTCAATGAGAACTCTCCTCTCTGGCAGGTCAAAATGTAAAAACATTCCTCAGTTTACACCCCTGTCCCCCAATCATTCTTGCTCAGGCAGGTAGAGTTTTATCTTACACATATGCAGCTTTTATATTCAGCAACAAAGTCTAAAGAACCCAGTGCAGATTTCTAGGGGTTTTTCTCCTTGTAGCTTTCCACTTTCTAATTCTTCCCTGCAAATTCCAGCCACCTCTGCCTACCCAAATAATTTCCTTTGTCTCTTCAAGTCATTCAAGCTATCAAATGTCACTTGAAAACCCCATTTCTTAACCACTTTCTTGAAGGTTCCTCCTGGCAGAGAGCCATAGCAATTAAGGACTCACCTTTTTTATTTATCTTTTCTCACAGGTCATAGTTCTGTGCTTCCTACTTTCCAAGCTTAAAACCATATTTCACAGTTGCTTTCAATTTCCACTTATTTATATCATGAGGGTATATAGTCTAAGTCCAGATACTCATCTTGAGAAGTGGAATCCCCTTGTATAATTTTGTAAACATAGAGTACTTTGTATAGATATAAACAAAGGAAATAATATAAAATGATAAATGCATAAACATATATAAGGATAATATAAGCTTGGCAGACTTACTCATCTTCCTCAGGTATTTCTAAAATACTGCATTCTTGGTAAGGGCTAACATTATTACCCTGTTTGGGATTTCACTCTGTTTCCATTCCCTATCCTTCTTTCCTGTTTTACATCTGCTTCAATACGTTTATCAGCACTTAACATATCATATATTTTACATATTTATGTTGTTTATTTTCTGCTCTCCCCCAGCCTCAAAGTAAAGTATAGCCACATACACTTGTGGGTTTTTGCTCGTTTTATTTATTGTTGTTTTCTAATATGTAGGACAGTAAATCACATATAGTAGAGGTTGAATAAATATTAGTTGACTGAGCAAATAAATGAATATCGCAATAAGAGTTTTATCTGGCAAGGGAAAAAAAGTTGAGGAAGTGCTAATTGGATTTTGCAACTGCACACATGTTATGGACTGAACTGTGTTCCCCAGAATCTCTATATTGAAGCACTAAGCCCCAACATAATTAGACTTGG